>NC_000012.12:114126794-114278309 GCF_000001405.40 Homo sapiens | reverse complement strand
TGATAGCCAGTCTTTAAGATGACCTCCCAATAATTCCCACTTCCTGGTCTTCTTGACTTTGAGTATGGGTCAGATTTAGTGACCTTTTCTAGTGAATACAATATGGCAGACATGATACTATGTCACATTTGAGATTAGATTACACAAATGCTGGTTTCTGTCTTGTATGTTCTTCCTCCTGTACTCTTCCTTGTTTACCCTGGGGGAAGCCAGCTGCCATGTCATTGGGCTGCCCAGTGATAAGGCCCATATAACAAAAAAGTGATGTCTCTAGCTAACTGTCAGAGAGGACTGACACCCACCAACAGCCACGTAAGTGACCTTGGGAGTAGATCCTCCTCTTTCTGAGCCTTGAGAAGACCACAGCCCTGGAGCCTGAGCCAGAACCAAACTGTGCTCAAATTCCTGACCCACAGAAACTGTGACATAATAGATGCTTGTGTTTTAGATTGTGGGATTATTTGTTGTGAAGCAATAGATAACTAATACTCTGTAAGTGTTTCCTTGTCATCAAGATGTCTTTTTATAATATGAAATTTTTAGGCCAAGGGCAACATGGGGTAATAAAAAGTCAAGTTTGGAGTGCTAAAATAAAAATTTCAGCTGAATTTAATTTAAAGGAGTTTAATTGAACAATGAACTATTAGTGAATCGGGTAGCTCTTACAATCACAGCAGATTCAGAGAGACTCCAGTACAGCCACATATTGGAATAAGATTTATAGACAAAAAAAGGGAAGTGATGTAGAGAAATCAGAAGTGAAGTACAGAAACAACTGGATTGGTTACAGCTCAGCATTTGCTTTATTTGAACACAGTTTGAACACAGCAGTGTATGAGTGGTTGACGTATGGCTGCTGGGATTGGCCAAGACTCAGCTGTTGTTACAGGTGCATACTCCTAAGTTAGGTTTTCAGTCTTGTCTACATATTAAGTTAGGTTGTCCACAAGGACCCGAATATAGAAGTATGGAGTCCTTCTCAGGCCATATTTAATTTGCTTACAGGAGTCAGACAGACGAAAACTTCAACTCTGGCTCTGTGCTTTCCCAGGGGAGTGGCTTGGGCAGGTGAATTTCCCTGAGTGTCAGCTCCTTAACTGTACCTCTGGCAAAACAATTCCTCATCAGAGTCTCGCTGAGAGTTTTGAATGATATGATGTGTGCTAGAGGCAACTTGTCTGATGCATAGAAAGTGTTCAGCCAATGCAACTTCATCTCCTCACAGCTGGAAATTCTGAGAAAGTCATTCTTTGCTTAGATGACAAACTTTTTAAAGGCAAACTTTCTAAACTGTGTTGCATATTTCCTGCCTTTGTAAACAGTTGCACTTTTCTTGATGCCTTATTGCAAATACCAGTTCTTATCCTGAATTCTATCTTTTGGGGTCCCCAGTGGCTGGTGGTGAACAACTTATCCCAATGTTGACTGGCCCCAGACTGTAGTGTATTGAATTTCAGTGCCTTTTCTTAATGTTTGACGTCTGTCTTCTCTGCATTACAAAGTCCCTTCTGCCAAGACAGGTACACTGACACTGGGAGAACATCTTTTCCTACAATAAGTATTTGTCCATTGTATCTTTTGTGACAGGCACCAGAATTCAACAGTAAACAATACAAGAAAAGGTCTTTGAGTTTTCTCTTCCTCTAGATTCTGGAAAGAGATTGCAACATGCTTATCAGTGTGACTAACTGACCAAATTCTATGTTTTTGGCTTGGTTCTAGATACTTGAGATTGCAGGCAAAAAATGACCCAAACATGATCCCAGATAAATCAGGTTTTGGCTCAAACTGAAACTGAAGAAACTCTCTTCTCGTCTGACTCAGTTGGTCTTGTTCCATTCCTTGACTATGATGGGCCTCCAAGTTCTCACCAGGCTTCCCACAAATGTGAGCCCCCAGGAATGGATAGTGCCAACCAACGATGGAAACTGGACCAGTGAGAGAATTTCTCTCCACCTTTGAGATGAGCAAGTCCATTCTGATGATAGACTTGCTGATGGCTGATTCTTTTTACAAATCAAAGAGAACATTACTCTACAATGAGATTTCCTAAAGTGAATTTTGCTGAGCTGGTTTTGTGGGATGCTGATATTTGCCATGTGCATATTCCATGGAAAATGCTGGGCTAAACAAAGGGTAACAGGATCTTTTTCTGCAGGACTCCTCAGAGCCTTTAATATGCTAATATGGTTTGTGAGTTTCCAGGAAGGATAAAGACTAGACGATGCAGAATTTCTCCAACTCATTTGACCACAAAACATTCTTTGCATCTTTGCTCTTTTTTCTTTCTTTTTTTTTTTTTTGCAAAACATTACATGAGTTTGAGAATATCATTTGGTTCAGACTGTTAACATTCCTACAGGTATTTTGGTAGTAACACATAACAAAATTAAAGATGTTCACCAATATATAAACCTAAGAGAGTAAAAAATGTGAAAATCCTGCATAGATGCTTAGCCCAAAGATTTATGCCTGACTTTTAAAAGGCCAGCGAATTGAGTAGTTATAAGACTAAGAGTTAGACCTATTGTTCCCTGACTAGTTTCCTTATTTGGACAGCATTTAATTGTGACATCTACACTTTGGAGTCTCTTCCAGTGATCAGTTAGACAAACTGATGAGAGAGAAGCAGCCATCTGATAGTGCCTCTTTTGCTTCCAGGACAGAAACACATAGGTTGTTGCATTTTGGAAAATGTCCTGTAGCTGCCGCTTGACCCCTTCTTGGAACTTGGAAAATCTCAGATCAGCTACACGCAAGAAATCCTCTGCAACATTCTAACCCTGCCTCTTTAGGCAATAAATTAAAAAGGCATGGGGGCTTTCTCCTGCTCCACTGCAGAGCAGTGCTCAGTGGCTGTCAGAGCAAAAAGGCACATGTGTGAGTTGGGGTCACTGCATGTTCCTACTAGAAGCGAATGACTCTTTCTGGAAGTTCTCTGCTGGATCCCTAGAGACTGTGCCTCTAACTTTGATCTCTAAGACCGGAGCTTCATAGAAAAGCAAAAAAATGTTAACATAGTTGAGTCTGGGGCAGGATCATACTTGGAATGTATTGCTGGAATGGATAATGATGAGACTAAAAATGTAGAAACAGGGCTTGCGATGGCCCCAGCCACCCTTCCCAGAGACACTGCTAAACCATGTGCAAAATCACCCCGGAAAGGGGGTGTCAAAGGGTTTGCCTGTTGTGGCTGCTGTCCTCATAAACCAAGAATGTGAGCAGGTTGTTTGAGGCTGCTGAACAATCAATGCTGGGATTTCATTTGGAGAAAGGGTTTGAGAGGCAGGGAGTGGAGTAAAAAAGGAAAAGGTAGGAGTTGGGAGCTGGGAGCTCGGGTGTGAGCTCTAACCCAACTGTTTATTTGCTTTGCCGTTCTGGAAAACAGGTGGCATTTTACTTCTCATTTCTACCTGTAAAATGGGAAGAATACTCACACCTACTACCGCTCTAGGGTTGCTGTGAGAATAAATAAGATTACCCAAGTGATATGGTTTGGTTGTGTGTCCCCTCCAAATCTCATGTTGACATGTAACCTCCAGTGTTGGAGGTGGGCCCAGTGGAAGGTGTTTGGGATCTGATTGTTAAAAAGAGTCTGGGGCCCCTCCCCAGCTCCTGTTGCTCCATCTCTCACCATGCTGGCTCCTACTTTGCCTTCTGCCATGATTGGAATCCCCCCGAGGCCCCCACCAGAAGCAGATGCTTCCTATACAGTCTGCAGAACTGTGAGCCAAGCAAACTTCTTTTCTTTGTAAATTACCTAGTCTCAGGCATTCCTTTATAGCAACACAAAATGGATTAATACACCAGGTGACTCCTTTAGAACATTGGCTGACATTCAGTACACAAAGATGAGCAAACTTAATGGCTCTTGGGCCAAATGTGCCTGCCACCTGTTTTTGTAAATAAACCCTTACTGGAACACAGCCATACACATTTGTTTATGTATTGTCTATGGCTGACTTCACATGACCTTGGCAGAGTTGAGTAGTTGGGACAGAGCCACTCTGGCCCAAAAAGCCAAAAATATCTACCATCTGGTCCTTTACAGAAAGCATTTGACGATCCTTAGAGTAGAATATTAGCTATTCTTATCCACATGACTAATACCAACTCCATAGAAATATAAGAATAAAATAAGGATGAATATGTCAACAAACTTTGGAATATTTTTTTTTTTTTTGAGATGGAGTCTCGCACTCTCACCCAGGCTGAAGTGCAGTGGGGTGGATCTCAGCTCACTGCAAGCTCCGCCTCCCAGGTTCACGCCATTCTCCTGCCTCAGCCTCCCGAGTAGCTGGGACTACAGGCGCCCACCACCGCACCTGGCTAATTTTTTGTATTTTTAGTAGAGGTGGGGTTTCACCATGTTAGCCAGGATGGTCTCGATCTATTGACCTTGTGATCTGCCCGCCTCGGCCTCCCAAAGTGCTGGGATTACAGGCATAAGCCACCGCGCCCGGCTGAACATGTTTTAAATGAACCTATGCCTGACAAAGAAGATGGTTAATTCAACTGTCTATACAATGGAATTTTATGTTGAATTTTTTAATGATGTGGAAGAAGACTACTTAATTATATGGGAGCGCACATGTACACACACACAGGGCTCACTATTTGCTAAGCATTTGCCTGGTATGATGTTTGTCCTCAAATAACCTTATGAGGCAGGTACTACCGTGAGCTTTAATTTACAGATGAGAAAATTGAAACTCAGATTATTTAAGTGATGCCTTCAAATTCACACAGGGCATAAAAGGCAGATTCAGAACATAGGCCTGTCTATTGATTGTGTTTTTTTTTTTTTAAAGAATAAAACAAAGCAGTTGGTAAAACAGTACACGCAGCAATATCTAGTTTTTGTAAAAAATAGTATAAGTGTGTGTGTGTGTGTGTGTGTGTGTGTGTAGACACACATTCAGAGGCTAGAGAGAAGACATCTCTTAAAATGTTAGAAGTTATTTTGGGGTCATAAGATAATAGATAATATTTTAAAATTTTCTTCTTCATGGAGAAAAATGTATTGTCTTTAACATATGTAATAACAAAGAAAAAAAGAAAAAGAGTTAGACAAGAAAATGGTTTATGCGCTGCCTAAATGTCAAATATCTTCTGCCAATGCTCACACTTCAGACTTAATTACCAGCTAGGTTAATAAGGTTCGAAAGCAAATGTTCACTCCCGTAGAATGTGATTCCAAAAGAAAAGTGTGATGTGCCAAGCATAAGTGTGCTGAGCTTCCCAATTTTCCCCCATGGCTCATACCTGCTTGCCCTCCCTCATTCCTTCTTTGTTGGAGGTTGCAAAGCAACCGTGCTTTCTTCTTTTTCTTGGAGGTCTTTGATTGTCTCCTAACTTTTAAGAGCCCTGCTGCTTTTTATAAATATTTTGGAAGCATCTCAAGCTTTGAAAAAAAGCCACTTAGAAGAGATGCATCTTGACAAATTGAGGATTCCATGAGATCATCGTCCAGGTTTTTATTGTATTTTCCCTTACTCCAGAAAGTGGGAGTACATCCAAATCAGAATGTGCACTACCCTGCTATATTTCTGAGAGAATAAAAGGAATTTGGCCGTGTCCTGCAAAGCATCCGACATTCACATATTTTTCTGGCGGAGACATTTTGCCAGACATCAATGTTACTTGCAGAATGTGGCTGTTTTTATTTTAATCTGCAAATATTACTCCTGTGAATTATGATCTTTGCCTGGTTTGGGTATTAGAATGGGAATCAGGGAATCAGTGAAAGTTTATTCAGGCAAGGGAACAAGGAACATTTTGGAAAATGCAAACTTAAGAGGTACCCGTCAAAACATTCTTTGTAAAAAATATATTCCCCCTCTGCTCATTTTTAGAAACTTTTTCTTAGAGGCTTGGAGGCACCAAGGCTCTTCCCTTGGGGTTTAATTTTTACTAGAGTAAGTTCATACAGGTGGGACTGGAAATATATGCAACTTAAGCAACAATGTGTGACAAACGCTTTGTCACATGCTGGGATGCATAAATGCACAAACAGCGTTCCTGTTGTTATGGAGATTAGAAGTGAGCACAGAAGGAACAATTTAATGATGTCATAGATACAAAGTGTTTTGGAGGATGTCCTGGGTGTTAGGAGCATATAATGGTTTTAACCTAATATGAGGGGTCCTGGGAAACTTCTGAGAAGTGGTGACAATTGAGCTGAATTACTTGAAAGTTGAGAGGATGACAATGGAGTTTGAGATGGACAGGTGCCTTAGGCACAGTGAAGAGCCTACATGAGGTTCCAATGGTGGGAGAGAACACGGCACATGCAAGAAACTAGTTGCTTTCTGTAGGGTTGATGATGGGTAGCAATGATTAATTATCCTTTAAGAACTGTATGGCACTTAAGTACATACATTGTAGAAAACTGTGTGCACAGCTGTAGATTTCACAGCCCAGGTCATTCTCTGTTTAACATCCAAGAAGTGGGGATCAAACATCTTCGTGAATTTTGATTTATTCCTATTTCAGTTGCAAATGCTAATGAAATAATAAGACATTGTAAAACAAAAGCTGTAGATTTTTTTTTCCTAAGATGAAGTATGAACTCCATATAAGCTCCATGTGTTTCTTCTATTATTTTAAAAGCTGAGGGAATCACTGCAAATGGGAGAAAAAGACACATGAATTGGCATTCTTGCTTGGGAAAGAGCAATTCTTTACCCCCACATGAATCTTAAAAGATCTGACTCCCCCACGCTCAGACTCTGGCCTCAAGATATTTAGGACTGAAATCAGAGTGTGTAAAAAGAAATATTAATTAAGCACCTACTATGCACAGAAGCTTAATATACACATCCCTCTTTAATTCTAACTACTATATTAAGAAGATATTCTATTATGAAGATATTATCATTTCCCATACATATGGGAAAACAAACCTTGGGCTATAAAGCTTGTGCATTCCCTCCCCCCCCGCCCCCCGCCCCTTTAACTATCTGCCTCTCCTTGATTGGATTATCCATGAACCACCCTGAGCCCCAGGAGGGTTGATCTTCCCTGTATGCATCTTTGAATGATGTCTTCTTTTATCTCCTTTTCATCCCATCTCCTCCTCACACTAGGTTCTTTCTGAAGTCACTGGAGGGAGCAGAAAGTGTTATTCAGGGAATGTTTCAGAACCAACGATGCGAAGAAGCAAGATCAGAGAAGTCTCAGCTTCTTCACTGCCATATATGTAGCGAGGAGGTGGTAAAAAGTTTTCTTCACTTTGAGTGTAATTGGGATATCATACAAGGCATGGATGAAGGGGTGGTCATAAAACAATTTTATTTTTGTTTCCCATTAGTCTGTAGAATGTATTCAGAGTGTGTATGTGTGTGGGGGTGGGTTGGGGAGGAGTTCTCCCGCTGTCCCTAGGTGAAAATCCATGCAGTTTGATGCTCTTCCTACCTTTTCCTTAATAATAAAAGATCCTCTGGTCACTTTAAGTCACCAGACACCATCTCATTACAGAATTTAGGAGGCACAGTCCCATCTAATTTTCAAACTTCAAACTGGACTTTTTAAAATTTTTATTTAGATTTAAGAGATACAAGTGCAATTTTCTTACATGGATATATTGCATAGCAGTGAAGTCTAAGCTTTTAGCATACCCATCACTTCAATAGTGAACATCGTACCCAGTATGTAATTTTTTAGCCCTCATCCTCTTCCCACTATCGTACATGCTGGAGTTTTCAATGTCTATTATTCCCCTCTTTCAAACTGGCTTTAAAATTAAATAATCTTTTTTTTTTTCTCTCCCAGGTAGGACCTGCCAACTGGCCTGTCTCTTGTTTCTCCACGTTTTGGCTCTAACTAGCTAACTTTGGCTTCTGGGTTTGAGCAGGTGGGGGCCAGGCAGGCAGGAGAAAGGAAAGGAGTATGGAAGTTCTTGCTTGACTGGTACTGTCTTAAGATGGTTCTAAGCTCTCTGCACTGACTTGTCCTCTCATGGGCACTTATGTACGTTCCTTGGAGTTGTCCCATCACTGGGGACCCCTCACTTGCCTCTCTTTTGACTTCTGCTCAAAGAGCACCACCTTAGCTCATTGCTTAAGCCTTCAGGAGCC
This sequence comes from Homo sapiens, assembly GCF_000001405.40. Lineage (NCBI taxonomy): Eukaryota > Metazoa > Chordata > Mammalia > Primates > Hominidae > Homo > Homo sapiens. The sequence continues at coordinate 114,270,231 of NC_000012.12, read as the reverse complement.
TCCAGGAATTATGCAATACTTTGGCTGCTCTCTCCTGGGACCTGTGCACCCTTCCATGTGTCCCTGTTGACTACAGGTGACCCACACCAGCCAACAGCTCTCTCTCACACATAGTCCACAGTGGGTTCACAGGATACACTCAGAATCCTTGGCTCCAATGAAATCTGCAGGTGAAGATCTTTCCTAAGGCAACCACTTCTGTTTCAGCTGAGATAACCCATCTATTTTTTTGTCTCCTATTTCTCATATGGGAGTCAGATACAAGTTCACAGTTTATCCCATACTGTGGGGTCTTATATGAAATTCTCCAGGTAGTTTTCTTAAAGTTCCCTTTTCTTGTCCTGGAGTAAAAAATATTATCTCCACCCTGCTCCTTAGGGGAGGTAAAACTTCTAGGATAAATCTCTAAAAATAAATATATTCTCCTTAGTTCTTCTTTTCTGACCCTTACATATCCTTGATGAGGTGAGTGGTATTAAGAGTCATCTATTATATTATTAGTTAATTATATTAGTTAATTATTAGTTAATAATATTAATAGTTAATAACTAATAGTTAATTCTTGGACAGCTACTTTGGGATTTTTGTGGCACAATCTATGTGAAAACCACCTTGTTATCTGTGATAATGCACATTAACAGCTTCCCCTCTTCATGCTCCCCGGTTGTTGTTCCCTTTGCCAAGTGACTTTGAAGATGCCCTCACCAACAAGGCAGAGTCTATTTCCTCAGCCCTGAAGCTGGGCTGGCCGCATGATCTGCTTCAGCCTGCAGTGACAGCATGTCAGTACTGAGCCTCGACATCAAAAGGCCTTGTGTGTTTCCTCTCTTTCTCTCCCTCTCTCTCCCCTTCTGCCATCACTGTGAGGACATGCCCAGGCTAGCCTGCTGGAGGGTGAGAGACAGGTGGAGCAGAACTGAGTCCTCCCAATTGCCCAGCCAACAGCCAGCCACCCCCAGTCATGTGATCAATCCCAGCCAAGATTAACAGAGTCACCAGGCTGCTCACCCCAGACACATGAGCATTGGGCATTCCATAGGCCACTAAGGCTTTGTGGTTCTTGCTCACACAGCACTGTGTCGGCATCAGATAACTGAGAAGTATCTGATATCTATATCTTAATAGATGCATTTTAATATATTTTAATATATCTTAATAGATATATTTTAATCTAATATATTCTTAGGACTCCATTTGAAATGTTATATAGTCACAAATATTTCTTAAAAACTCCATATTAAAAAGAAGTTTATTCATTTCCTCTCTTCTTTCCTTCCTGATACTTGAAAAACAAAACCAAACTCATGGCATTTTGCTTATTTTAAGCACATGCAATGATAATACAGATTTCAAAACGTGTGCTCCATATAAGCACAGTCCCCTGAAATGTTCCATGATGTGAGAGGCCCAGGGTTATGTTTCACAGGGTTAGGATGAGGGTGCAGGGAGGAAGGCACTTGCCCAGGGCACAAAATTTGCAGGGGTACCAAAAATGTCAATAATCAAGATGACTAATATTTTAATGAGCTATTTTTAAAAAATCAAAACTCATATAAACATCCATAACAAATAAAGTATCGAAATTTTAAAGACAAGATCATTAACTGTGCCATACCAAGCCACATTAGAGCCTGAGGCAGAAAGGGTGATGCCTCTTAGAAATACATGTTGCCCCCCAGGAAAGTTCTAGCAATTGACATTCCCTCCAGCACTGTATGAGGGTGCAGGGTCCCCACATTTGTACCATGCTGGCTGCTATCACTACTTTTCCTCTTGGCCAGTCTCACTGTTTAAATTTTCAGCCACAAGGTTTGCAGTAGGGTGTGCCATTTAAAAGGTGTGTCATTTAATAAGTGGCCACAGGTCACCTCTTCAGGTGAGTGGGTTCCCTGGGATCAGGTTTGGCAGTGGCTGACTATGGAGCTGAGACTCCGGCTCCTGTGATCACAGCCCATGATGAACCAACCCTGGAGGGCTCAAAGCCTCTTTCTCTCCCTCAACAGGCTCCATAACAGGTGGAGACCAGAACTGGTTCTTGTGCTAGATTTGCTACTAACTTGCTGTGAGACCTTGAGCAAATGCCTTCCCCTCTCTGAGCTTTAATTTTTCCAAGTGCAACATAAAAGAGAAGAATAGATCTCTAAGGCTTTGCCAAGTCATAAAATTCAGTTTCTATTATGCAGGTTCCTAACTTACGTGCTTTCATGTCCTTAGAAGCTCAAAGAGATAGAAACCTAATGAAGAGGGAGATAAACTCCACCGTGTGAAGGATGTGTTGTTATTTTCCTTTTAAGACAGTGGTTCTTAAAGTGTGCTTTCCTGGTCCAGCAGCATTGGCGTCCAGTGGAAACTTATCAGAAATGCATATTCTCAGTCTCTACCCCAGAACCCGTGAGTCAGGAGCTCTGGGCTGGGGTCTACCTGTCTGTATTTTAAAGAGCCCTTCTGGTGATTCCAATGCATGCTTAAGTGTGAGAATCACTGTTCTAAGTCGCCTGAAGCTCACTTCCAAGAGGGTCATTGTCGATCATCATTAGTTATTGTCAGCATCACTGTGTGCTGACCATGTGCAAAACACGTGCTGAGGCTTTACATACATATCTAAATGAATCACCACAGACCCTATGAAGAGGGTGCTATGATGTTCATCCCCATTTCACAGATAAAGAAACTAATGCACAGAAACATTAATTTGTCATGTGTTACTCTGCAATTAAGTGGCAGAGCTAGGACTAGAATTTAGCTCTCTCTGTTTTAAAGCACGCATCATATACCTGCCCCTCTTAGGGAGATCTAATTGCCAGCTCCATAGCACAAGGGAAGGGGAAATAATTAGATTTAGCAAGATCATGAGACTGGTCTTGGAAACTCACCTCTGTTTAAGCATCAGAATCCCCTGGGGAGCTTTTTAAACTTCCTCATGCCCAGGCATCACCATCTCTGGACAGGGGACCTCAACGCTGCTTCCAATGAGCAGCTAAGGTTGAAAGTCACAAATGTAAAGAGTTTCCTTCTCAATTGGAGACTGGCTTCTACTTCCTTTCATTTCTGCTCAGTGCTGTACCCACCAGTTCCTTAGAGGGTATTTCCCTCCATGGGAAGAACCCACAGAAAAAGCCATACATTCATAAATAGATCCTCTGCAATTAATAGAACTCTAACCATAAGGCTCACCATCATTTTACAAATTGGGAAACAGAGGCTCAGAGGGGGCCAGTAGACTTCCCAAGCTTGCACAGCAAGTTCTTGTGGGAGAGGGTCTCTTAATACCCCATCCCAGCAATTGAATATTCTTCAAGCTAAACAGCCCCCCAAAGCCTTAAACCCTTTCACTGTGAGAGAAGCTCTCAAGTCCTCTTGCGGTTTTGATTCCTCTTTTGCAATAGCACTTTGCATTTTCTCCTAAATTCCTTCCAGCTGTCAGGTAGGAGAGCCCCCTGATAAGGATTTCCCCAGTGTGGGAGAGAAACATTTACCAGAGGTAACTCAACACACCAGGCTCCCTCCCAACAGTTTCCAAGCATATGGAATATATTGTGGTCAGAGGGAAATATATTTTAAGAATTTCTCCTGCATCTTTTCAGATACATTCCACCAAGGATTACTACAGGTGTCATGAAAAGTTGGCTTTTGCTCTTTCCCAGTAAGAAGGAGGCAGACTTTGGCAGCAGAGTCAGCTCCATGGGTATGGGAGCCAGAACCAGCCTCAGCCAACTGCTGGAGATGGAGCCCTAGATCTAAACTCTCTCAAGTTCCGAGGTTGGTTGCTTCTCTGTTTTCCCTGGTGGGTGTGTCAGGGTAGAATATTAGTGAGAATGATAAACATTTATTGAGTGCTATGAAATTAGCATCCCCCTACTCTATCCTCTTACCATATATTTTCTCCTTCTAATCTATTATGCATTCATTTGGATTTTTCTTTCTTTGTGGTCAGACTTCCCCCACGAGGGCAGCAATTTTCCTTGTGTTTTTCCCCCAGCTTCTAGAATATCTCCTTTCACATAGTTGGTACTCAATAAATATTTGATGAATGGATGGGCTAACCTTTTTACATTCAGTCTATCACTTAATGTTCACGACAATCCCATAGGGTAGAAACTGTTCTTAACTTTCATTTTATAGGTGGGAGGAATGAAACTCAGAGAGGTTAAGTAGCTTGACACAGGTCACCTAGCCTATATCTGGTATATCCTAGATGCAAACACAGGTCTGACTAATTCCATAGCTCATCTTCTTAACAGTCCATGGGAGAGACAAGAAAAGCTTCAGGAGGCCAAGTCTTTGGGTAGATAATCTAATGCCCAGTGTATGTCAAAGCCCAGGCTGTGTAATGGTGAATAAGACACAGTTGCTGACTACAAAGAATTTACTATTAATGGAGAGAAATGAGTCAGTAAGTAATGGCAATGCAGTGTGGTGTTGTGACAGGGGGATGTTCAGGGGACCAGAAGAGTGTAGAGCACACATCTTTGTCAAAACCAGAGAAGGATTCCCGTAAGAGATGGCATGTCACTATCATCATCATCTTGTCTGTCTTCATCGTTATCATGGTCCTCAAAAGTTATAATTTACTGAGGTCTTTCTTTGTTCCACACAGCATGCCAAATTCTACACATTTTTTAAAATATAATTCTCCAAATAACCTATCAAGGATGAATAAACTGAGTCTCAGTGAGGTTATATAATTTGCCCAAGTCCCAGAGTAAGAGGCTGGACTGGGATTGGATCTCAGTTTTTTCAGTGCTACAGTCATTGCCACCCCAATGTGTTGTGGGGAGGTCGCCACATAAAGGGGAGGAAATGTGTTCTATGCAAAGGAAACGGCACAGACAAATGTTGAGAAGTAAGAGAAGTAGATCTCTAAGGCAGAGGTGAGAAGAAAGTTTTAGAAGCCTTACCCCAAGGCCCAGACTACAAACTTGGGTGACCTCACCTGGGACATAACAGACTCTCAGACATGTGCATGGGCCTCCGCCAGGTTTAATCAACAGAGGTCATGAGGTTGGCATTCCATGGCACAAAATGTGGTTGCTCAGATAATGGGAGTTACGGGCAAGGCTATTGCCTGTGGCCAGAGTAGGCAGAGTTGAGCAATGATAATGCAACATTTCATTCAACCAACTTTCCAAGACCCATTCCAAGTTGGACCCAGAGGTTACATCATAATTGCAGTCTTAGATCTCAGACCCTGTGAGTCTTGCTGGTTGGAAGCCCTTCCACCAGATAGTTCCATCTTATTGTAGGAATAATCAAAGGGCCCTGACATGAGATGGGGGTATAGCTTTCTTTTTCTCACTGAACCTTACAGAGCCCAATTTCCTGTTCCCCTTCTCTACCTCCAGCACTGTGTCATCATCCCTTATTGATGCAAAATCTTTGTAATGGCTCCATTTTTCATTTGTCTGGGGTGGGGGAAACATTCCTTGCTGGTTCTGTCCACCTCTTCAGATGTATTCAGATGCTGAACTCATAGCTCCTGGAAGAATCCACATCCACATCTAGGCTAAGTGGGTAAGGAACCATGTGGTGTCTTTCTAATGGACCAGCTGATTTGATCATGTGATTCCTCAGCCATAGCTGATTGGACCAGCTGATTTGATTATGGTACAGCTGGTTGGGCCATGTGATCTGTCAGCCACATCGATAATTTAAAGGACAACAGTCCACTGTTTGACAAGATACCTGTGTGGACAAGCCAACAAGAATGAGTTGGTTCTTCTGTTACCACCTTCTTTTGTGTTATATAAATATTTTAAGTGTAACTTTTAATTCCTCTGTTGTTATTTTTACTATATTTTAAAAATTATTTTCTTAGTGATTGTTTTGGGATTATAATATAATCTTAATTTGTTTAATCTACTTCAGATTAATAGTAATTCAATTCTAGTAAAATATAAAAAGCTTGCTCCAATATAGCTCCATTTTATCCCCCTCCTTGATACTCAGTTCTCTGAAATCTGCTCGTTATACAATGCAAAAATATATATAACACAATCACAAAGTTGTTAAAATATACTGAACATTTCTGTGATTCAGGCTGTATGCTAAGCACTTATGTGCAATATCGTCTAATCTTAAAAACAAACAAAAACAAAATCATAAGGTGATGCTATAATTACCGTCATCTTAGGCATAAAAAATAAAGTGTAGAAATGTTTGAGTAATTTGCTCAAAAATGCACTGCTAGCAAGTGATAGAAATGGAATTCTAAGTCATGACTTTTAACAAACTTGGTAACAAACGAAACTATTTCAGGCCAGATTAAAAGATGGTGACTGCAGATTCACTTTGGGGGTAAGAGTTGAGAAATTCAAGGTTGAGTTATAGAGCCTGAAGCCCAGAGCTATAGTGTGTCTAAGATTTGTTAACTTCTTTCTTTTGAGCAGCATTCAGTTTAAGAGTTGATCAACACTTAGTGAACATCCACAGTGTCACCAGGGATGGCAGAGTGATGTCACAGGTGCATCTGTCAGAAGCTCACTGTACCCTGACCACTTCTCACTTTATATCCTCTACCCTGAACCCCTCCCCCATGCATTCATTTGGAAGACATTGGATTGTCCCAGTAAGGGAGCATTAAAAGTGCAGCCAAGTGCAACTTGCATGTTTTCCACCTTCTCAGCGAGCCTGAATTAATAGGTCAGTCCAAAGTGACTCAGAGGAAATCAATATTCTTCCCCTGGTCCCTGAGCTCCACAATGGACCTGACTCAACTGCCTTCTTTTATTTAACCCTTCCCTGTAATGTTGGCAACAAAACATGTATGATGACTCACTAAAAGTTCTTTCTCATGTGGCAGAAACTCCTGTGTTTACTCTCCCCAGAACTCTAGCTGAGACCACCTCTCCCTTTTTCATTCCCCCACTCCCCAGGCATATCTGCTTTGAATCATTGCCAATCCAGGGAGCAGGGATTCCACTTTAACAAAAGGCAGAACTTGACTTCAGAGCTGATTCAAGCCTTGGAGTAATTTCATCCCTCCTTACTCACTTGAATCTAGTGGAAGTCAATAAATAGAATGGTGAGGAAGGTGTTGATGGCTCTGACCACCATCCCAAGGACTCTTCACACACTCCATCATCTCCTCCCGTGAGACAGACCTGTGTCATTTAGCTAGCTTTCAGAATTTGAAAGCACTTTCTTCTCTGGCTCTCAAACCATTGTTTCAATTACTATCAAACAGATCCCACCAATCTCTCTGAAAAGCTAGTATGTGACTGAGCCAGGATTCGAACACAAGGTGTCTGACTTCAGAGCTCAAGTTGTGTCTTGCTGGTACCCATACAGCCCATCATGGGGCTACAATACCTGCCCCTGCATGATGCTGATGACTATTCTGCCAAGAACAACCCTGACAGCAGGAAGATAACTGCATTTTACAGTGTACAAGGGAGAGGAATCTGAGCCAAAGGATTTTAAGATGGAAGAAATAGAAATGGAAGTTGATGTTCCTACTTACTATCCTCCCCACTCTCCACACACAGATGCTTTGAGAACTTTCCTTCCTATTTCCAAGCAAACACGCCCATGACTTAGTTTGACATCTGAATTAATCAGGATACAGTTTCAACTGCTGATACAAAGACCCAAATTGATAGTAACTTAAACAAGATAGTTTGTTTCTCTGTCCTGTATCAGTCCATGTCTAAGCCATCCTGGGCTGAAATGGTGGCTCTGTGGTGTCATGCACTCAGGCTTGTTCTCTCTTCTTACATCTCATTGGCCTGTACTTAGTCACATGACCCAACCAACTGCAAAGGAGGCTGGGAAACATGTCTTTAGGTAGAAGACCACTTTCTTAGCTAAAATTTGAGGGATTTCTTTACTAAGGAAGATGAAGAGAATGGATAGTGAGAGGCAAATAGCAGTTTCTGTCACATTTCAATAGGTACAGTAGTGACCCCTTATGTGCAGTTTTATTTTCCTTGGTTTCACTTATCCATGGCCAACAGCAACCTGAAAATATTAAATGAAATATTCAAGAAATAATACATATGTTTTAAATTGTGCACTATTCTGAGTAGCATGATCAAATCTCACACCATCGTGCTCCATCCTAGATGTGAATCATCCCCTTGTCTAGCATATCCACTCTGTGTTTGCTACCCCTCTGTTAGTCACTTAGCAGCCATCTTGGTTATGAGAGCCACTATCATGGCATTGCAGGGTTTGTGTTGAAAAGTAACCCTTATTTTACTTTATAATGGCCCTGAAGCACAAAAATGTTGACTCTGGCATATTGCTATAATTGTTCTATTTTATTACTAGCTAGTGTTGTTAATGTCTTACTGTGCCTCATTTATACATTAAACTTTATTGTAGCTATGTATAAGAAAAAAGCATAATATATATCTATATATAGGGTTGGCTGCTATCCACAGTTTCAGGCATCCAATGGGGGTCTCAGAAATATATGCCCTGTGGATAAGGGAGGACTACTATATTCAGGCAATTGTCAGTGTCATATATACCCCTGTGCGTGTGTGTCTGTGTGTGTCCTATGTATTTACTTTCACACAGATAATCATAGATGATATATCAGTCTGTATTCACTCAGGAAAGTAGAACCACTATGAGTATTATAGAATAAGGAATTTATTACAGCAGTTAGACCTTACACCATTGTGGCAGTTGCTGGGGAAAGTAAGGTCTGAAAGGAGAGTTAAAACAGCAGAGATGGGTCACTCACTAGTCCTGAGTGAATGAGTTGAAGCTTGCAGGGAAATCTTAAGCTAGGTCATTCCCATTGCTAGAGTGAAACTGCAAAGGAAGATCACTGTAGAAGTCTATGGAAGGTTGTTGGTTCTTCATGGCTACCATTTCTATGAGTCTACAGCAAAACATTTGGCTGTGGGCTTGAGGTGGTTTTTGGGTCAGCAGATCCTTTGAGAAGGAGAGCTGGACACAGAACAGAAAAGAGGGAGTATAAATTGGAACCCATGGGCACCTCTGTGTCTGTTTCCTTCAGCCTCTAACCAACAATGACATTCAAAGGGTAATGGCTGCCACCTCACTTTCACCTCCTGTATCTTACCCAAGTTCTAATCTGGAACAATATGGGAATAGAATTCTGGGAAATGTAGTTCCTAGCACAATCAAGTTGACAAAAGAACAACCCAGCACAAGTGGGGAGCCATTACCACCCCCGATTCTGAAGTAGTCCACTAGGACCTGGAAAGACAGGCTATGTGAAGAGGGACACATCTGCCAGGTGTCACCTGTCAACTATAGATGGAGAGACCCCACTAATCAATAGCAGCACTGCAGTGAGGAAGCTACAAGGCTAGGAGAATTAACACCCTGATTTTATTTTCCTTCTGTGCTCTGAACTTCTGCTGGTATCACGCACTGGAAGAACTCAACAGGAAGCCAGAGGGCAAGGGAGCATGTTGACACAGTCCATAGAGTCAGATCCTGGGACATATGGCAGGATGGAGGAGATGGAGAGAGGCTCTTTAGGGGCAAATGGGAAATGTTCAGTACACGATATGCATGTATAGATACTTATTAAGTATCAGTACATATTTGAGCCTCTATGGTAAGCAGGCCTTTCCAGCAGTCTATAGTGGTATTATAATCAACTGAAATGGGAAAAATCCTGAAATCACTGTGACAAAAGGAACTGAGTCTATTGAATCTCCCCCAAGCCCTCCTCCCTACTGCCTAGCTGCTGCTCACTGCCAGTACAAATGTAGTGGTTGTTTTGCTGCAAAGCTATGGTGGTGTCTGTGGGTAGTAACACAGATTTTTTTTTGGAGTCAGACAGGCTCCTTCATTCATTTATTCAATCAGGAGCCACTTGTTGGAAGAATGGGAGAACAGCATGTACAAAGGTCCTGAGGTAAGAAACTGCATAGAGTATTTGGGGAATTCAAAGAAGACAAGAGGTTGAGGTACAAAGGGTATGGGAGGTATGGTTAGGGAGAAGTGGCTATAGGATGTTGGTGCATAGGCAGAAGCCACATAATGTGAGTCCTTGCAGACCAAGGTAAGGAGTTTAGAGTAACTTACATGTCCAAGAATAAAGGAGATTTGAGTAAATTCTTCTAGAATCAAGTGATTAAACTCAGGGCAATCATTCAAAATCATGTGATAGAAAAATATTTAATAATATGAGAAAATGTTTACAATATATGAAAAAGTGAAAAGACCAGCTGTAAAACATTATGTGCAATTTGATCTCATTTTTGTAAAAAAAAATATTGCTTGTATAGCCATAAAATACCTTGGAAGGATATTTTACCATTGCCATTATAGAGTGAAATGATTATGGACCAACTGCATTTTTTTCATTGTACTTTTCTGTGTTTTCCAAGTTTTCCATTTGGAACGTACACTTTTGTAACAATTCTATCTATATTACCTATCTATCTGGATGTATGTATATATGTGCTTATATATATCTACATAAGAAAAATGTGTGCATCTGGTTTAAGTGCAGTGATTATTTTTTGTTTGTTTCTCTTTATGCCTGATTTCTTTTGGGAGTAGATATGAGACAGATTGTTTTGAAACTAAAGACAAGTTTCAATCTTCTACTCTCAGTTATTTGCTGTGTGATCTTGGAATGGCCACTTAACCTTTCTGAGGTTATGCTTATTTTTCAAGTGGGAATACTTCCACCTGCCCTTATTTCCTCTGAGAGCTCTGATGGGAAAGGAATGACAAGAAGAGTGGAAATGTTTTCCCGGAGAACAGAACACTCTACAAAATGGACACATATTGGTGAAACCCAATCAGGGATTCATAATCCAACATGCCCTTAGCTCTTTCCTCTTCAAAGTTAGCAACTTCTACAAGGTCAGCTTAGCCAGGAACCAACTATTTATGTGGCCCTACCCCAGGAAGAAAAGTCATAGCAGGCTCCTCACTATGCCCTTCAAGGCCCCATGTGAATTAACCCTTGGCTACCTCTTCAGCTTCATTTCCCTTGCTTCCTACCTGCCAGCTACCATGGCCTGTTTCTAGTCCTTGACCAAGCTGTGTTCATCCCCACCTCTGGTCTGTTGCACCAGCTTTTTCCTCTGTCTAGAGTCCTCTTCCCCATACTTCCCATGACTGACTCTGTTTTGTTTTGTTTTGTTTTGTTTTGTTTTGTTTTGTTTTGAGATGGAGCCTCACTCTGTCCCTGGGCTGGAGTGCAGTGGCACGATCTTGGCTCACTGCAACCTCTGTCTCCTGGGTTCAAGTGATTCTTCTGCCTCAGCCTCCCAAATAGCTGGGACTACAGGTGCGTGCCACCACGCCAGAGTAATTTTTGTATTTTTAGTAGAGACGGGGTTTCACCATGTTGGCCAGGATGGTCTTGATCTCCTGACTTCGTCATCCTCCCTCCTCAGCCTCCCAAAATGCTGGGATTACAGTCGACTGCCTCTTTCATACTCTTTTAAGCGGTCTCTACTTAAATCTCACCCTCCTCCCCTAGAGAGACTTTCCAGGAACACTGTGTCCAAAATAATCCCTATGACTCTCATTACTATATCACCTTGTTATGTAATTTTAGCAGCACTCATAATTCTTCTTTTAAAACCTTATTCGTTTGATTATTATTATTATTATTATTTTTTTTTTTTTTTTTTTTTTTTTTGAGACAGGGTCTCACTCTGTCACTCAGGCTGGAGTGCAGTGGCACAATCAGCTCACTGCACCCTCCACTTCCTGGACTCAAGCAATCCTCCCACCTCAGCCTCTCGAGTAGCTGGAACTACATGTGTGCACCACCACACCTGGCTAATTTTTGTATTTTTTGTAGAGACGGGGTTTCACCATGTTGCCCAGGCTGGTCTTGAAATCCTGGGCTCAAACAGTCCTCCTGTCTCAGCCTCCAAAAGCGCCAGAATTGCAGGCATGAGCCACCACACCCAGCCTGTTTGTTTACTTTTTAGTCCACGCAGTAGGATGTACATGCAATGGAACAGGGACTTTGTTGCAAGAATGGCATCTGGGACCTGTTAGAAACTAAAAAATATATTAAATGAAAGAATCAGGATGCCTAAGAAGTGAGGGGAGCAAAATCTGCATTATTAGCCAGTGGGGAAGGACAAGTATGTATAAAAGATATCCCCATTCAATTACCATAGCAGAAAATGTTCGATCTCTCTAAACACCTCTCTTCCCTTTCCTTAGTAATAGACCCTCCAGATTTAGCTAGACACTTGGCTAATTAGAATAAAGATGACATTCTCTAGCCACCCCTGCAGCTAGATGTAACAATGTGATTAAGTTCAAGCAGAAATGATGCCTGCCACTTCAAGATAATGCCCGTGAAAGGAAGAAATGTGTGCTGACCTTCCTACTTTGTGCTTCTCACTGGCTGGAATGCAGTCTTGATGTCTAAAGCCGGGGCAGCCATGTTGGGTCACAAGATGGACGCCACACATTAGCCATGGCAGAGCCACAGATGGGAGGAAGCCATAGCTATGTGGCTAGAAACCACATAGCCAGGTTTCTACTTTCGTAAAGACTAAACTTTTACCATGCTCCAGCCACTGTATGAGGGGTCTCTTTGTTAAAGTGGCTTAGTCTATATCTTACCTACCTACTTTCCCTGTAATTTCATAGTCAAATCATTTATGTTGCTATAAAATATTTCACACTGAGTTTTCCAATCTCTTTTTGATCATAGTCCTAACAACAGCTGGAAAGGCCTCAGTTTTGGAAAAGTTATTCACAGGACCTGATCCTCCTCTCCTCCACTTTTAGCTTCTGACACAGACAAATTTTTTTGAGGTTTGGTTTCTCCTGGGATTTTTGAAACAGAGTTAAGAGAGATCTTCCCTCCCAGTTATCTGTGATCCCCTCTTTGAAGCAAGATGCTGGTTTTTGGTTTGCTGCCTTCTCAGTGATAATTTATCTCCTCTGTTTATGAAATTCAGGAAATAGATTCTGCGGATGTTTCCTAATCCTAATACACACTTGGTGTGTATTTTCCCCCGCAACTTTCAAATTCCCATCAGAAAAGACAGCATGTAAATTTAAACCAGAACTTGAAATCTCTGTGCCTCTGAAGTGGGAGGCGGGAGAACTTGCTGACTCTGGGATAGGTTTCGTTGGAACACATTTGGAAGTTTCTTTTAATGAGATTGTTTGGTGTATTAATTTTTTTCTTTATAAATGGACACATATACATTTTCCACGGGGATTCCTGGAAGCCAGAGCAGAATTCCTTTTTTGCATAACCTTGATTTTATTGCAAAGTGTGGGCTGCTCATATTTAATTTCCTTGGAAAAAAACTGAGCCTGCCATGAAACTGGATGCTATTCCAGGGTGGAGCACAAAGTCTGGGAGTCTAGGACTCCTGTGCCAATGCAGCCATTCCTTAGTGCACACATATAAGGGGCTTAACATTTTGGAACACAGGTAGATTTACCGGGTTGCACAGACGTCAGAGTCCCCAAGACCCGTAAGTCCCTTTCTGTGCTGGGGAGGGCCCAGCAGTGTGTGTGCATGGCCATATGTTTTGTAAAATTTGTAAAAGGAAGAGTTAAGACCCTTTTCTCTTTCTACTCCAACTTCCTCTTCCTCTTCATTATACTTTCCCTCCTGTCAGTTGTGGCCTCAGGCATTTTGGAGTTCCATCTAAGGGGAAGTTGAATTGGTAATATGTTTAGTTTTGGTTTAGTGGTATATTTTTCTGTGGTTTGCAGTTATTCTGTGTATAGTTAAGTTATTGCCAGGCTGTCTTAGTGGCTTCTAGGAATATGCCTATTGCCCAGTTTGTGGTATGAACATGTTCTGTGTCACCTCACCCCAGAAATATATGGGGAGTGGAGGAAAAATCTTGTTAGAGGAAAGATTAAATTCTCTTGCATGAATATTAGAAAAGTAATAATTGTTATAGGAAGAGGCAGAGTATGCAACCCTCCAAAAATGTAGAAAAAATATTAAACAGTGTGTCAGGCAGTTCATTAATAAAAACTTTGTGTTATTTTAATGGATTTTGTGCCATTTATGAGATTTGTGAGGTTTCAAAAATTTGTTGTAATCTCTTTTCTCATGCTAAATAAATGGCTACTTTTATACCTAATTTTGCATCCATAATTTTGTTTTCTTTTCCTTAAGTAGCCTTCTGAATAGTATAAACTTTAAGCCCCCCAACCCAGAATATGACCTTGGGTATGGGGAGGGCACAGTGGAACATGAAGATAAGACAGTAAGACACATTCTTAAGAATTGTATTTAGTAGAATTTTTATTTTACAGCAGAATGGATGGATACTTTAAAAATTCTCTATGACAGGAATTGATAAACTACAGTCTGTGGGTCAAAGTGGTCTGCTGCTTATTTTTGTAAATAAAGTTTTATTGAAACATGGCCATGCTCACTTGTTTGCATGTTGTCTATAACTGCTGTCACATTACAATGGCAGAGTTGAGTAGTTGCAAACAAAATCATTTGGCATACAAAGCTTAAAATATTTACTATTTGGCCCTTTATAAAGAAAGCTGACCCCTGCTCTATACCATGGACTCCTCACAGAGGGCTAATGACAGGTCAAGCCCCTAAGAGGTTTGGTTAGTGTCTTGCCCATATAGCTGTCATGAAGAGTCATGAGGCTCTCTCATGGACCACACCAAGCCAGGAAGTGTCCCACTAAAACCGCTATTTTCCATTCAAGCCTTGGTTATGTTCCTTCTGTCCTGCTCAATAAATTTGACGGCTCCCCAGTGCCCACGGGACTTTAGCCAGGCATTCGCACTCTTCTCTGATCAGGTGACATCCCATCTCACAAATATCCTCCCGTTACCCTCCCACATATTCCCTCTCCTGACCCCAGGGGTCACGGTGGATATTTCTGTCTCAGTATCCATTGATCATAGGAAGAAAGTTGAGGAACTGGAGTCAGACCCTGGACTGCCTGCCTCCAAAATCTACACTTTAAACCACCATATTAGACTGCTGCACTGACAGAGAGTTGTTTATAAAATCCTAAGTTGCAGGTGGTGTCATGGCCACCCAGATAAAAACTATATTTCCCATTGTCCCTTGCAGGTATCCATGGCCATGTGACTAAATTCTGGCCAATAGGATGTGAGAAGGAGTAACATGTACAACTTCCTGGTTGTATTACCAAAGAGCAGGGGTGTAACCTCCACTTCCTCTTCCCCCTTCCCCTGAGTGAACATCAGCCTTCCTAGACCATGGTGGGGAAGACATATGTTGAGTTTGGCAGAGAAACTTAAGGCAAAGAGCCTGAATCTCCCACTCTGAAGAGCAACCCCAACACTGGATCACTATATTCAGACTATAACAGAGGAGAGAAATAAATTCATATCTTATTTAAGCCCTATTTATTTTGGGCTTTGCAATAACAGCTGAACCTCTATCTTGAACAATTATACCCATCAATTTTGTTTGTTTTGTTTTGATTTTCTGAAGCACGTTCCAGGAGAGGCTGGTACAATGGTCCCGTGGGCTACTAAGTCTTCGATGTTACTTGCAAGGCAAGGACGTGAACACCCCAAACTCTCCCAGTGCCATCCACTTTCACCAAGTAGCCACAGTTGCATTCTCAGATCTCAGATCCAGATCTCAGGGCAGCTGCCTCTGGAACACACCATTTTATCCAGTGCTCATTCCCTTGGCCAGGGCTGTATTACAGGCAAAATAAACACGGTTGACTGTTTCCATCGCAACTTCACGCTTTACAGGAAGGAAGTTGGATCTTGGACAAGGGACAGGTTTTCCTCAAGGGGAAGGGAACAGCCCTCTTTGGACCCTTCTTGAAGTGGATTAGGTTGGCTCCATCTCAGCTGAGATTAATAAGTGTCATGCTTCAGGACAAATAAACTTGGGATTTGCCTCATGGACTCTGCTTCTACTTGGCTGTTCTGGGGTCCTTCTTCCCCAGTGGTATCAGTGAAGTGTGGCAATAAGTGGAGTTGTGCAGGAAGGCTGTACTCTACCACAAAATGTTTTTTCCAACTCAGGGGTTACACTGCCTAACATTCTACCAGCAAGAAATGAATAACTTTGGCTTAAGCATTACTCTCTTCCTCCTCAGTCTTCATTTATGGGGAAAGAACAGCTGGCCCTATAAAAATAATTGGAGCTACAATTTATGTTGACTAGGTTTCAACTTCTAAATTCTGCACAGTGCTTGGTGGAGAAAGCCAAGAACAGGATCACTCCTGTTCCCCAGCAGAGTTTGGGAATGGAAATGCCTTTGAAAGAAGGAGAATGTGGGTAGCTCATTAGCGTCTCAGTGTGAATTGAACTAACAGACCCAGTTTTCCCAAGTAGGTGAATTTGCTCTTCTTGCTCAAGCCTGGAGGATTTGAAGACCATCATGTTATGGCATTTAAAGATTGACTTGATTTAAGCCCATGAAGACGTTCAGCATATTGTTTAGCCCACAACATAGGCTAAGTAAATTTTGTTGAATAATCCATTCAGGATTATTTCCCAGAAGAAAAAAATGCTGTCACAAATTGGATAATTTGAGAAGAATTTAATAAGACTACTTAATAAAAGTGTGAGTAGGATGTAGGGTTGCTATAAGTGTTAGGGAATGTTTTGTGAATAATAATAGCAAATTTGTGAGGGGAAGGGTGTCCTATGTTTAAAGAGATGAGAGGAAGTAGCAGTTATTGGAACTCATGGAAAAATTCATGTGAAGGTGGCTACTTGAGAGGAGTGATGACCCTTGGTCGAGGTCACATTCAGCCCAAGGCAAACTCCCCAAAGTAAACATCCCGATCTAACTCTATTCCTATTTTCCTACTTCCCAGTGGAGCTTCCTATTGGCTGAACCCAACCAGAAGCTAGTGTGCCTGGGAGCCCATTGGTGCTATCTACACAAGTTCACCTCCCAGGCACAGAACCAGATGAAGAAGGGTAGGGAGTAGACCTAGAGGGCACATGGAAAATATCTGTCCCAAGGAGATATGAGCAATGCTCAGATATTATTAGAACTTCTTGAAATGACTACCATTCAGCAGAACCCCTCCCACCATGATGTGTTCGGGGGTAGAAAGCCAGTCAAAACAATACTAAGTAACAATTATTGAGTGCTTGCTGCATGTTAAGCACTGTGCTAGACACTTTACGTATATTATCTCAGTTAATGTTCACAATAAGCTGATGAGGTAAGCCCTTTTCTCACCCCTGTCTTACAGAAAAGGAAACAAGGCATAGAGAGATTAGGTAAATTGTCCAAAGTCAACACAGTTAGTCAATGTTGCTGGTTGGGCTGTCTGAAAAGCCAATTCTAAGACAGAGTTTGTCATGCAGAACTTTGTATGAGAGGGTATTCTTAATGTCAGTGGGAGGGAAGAGGCAGAGGATGCAAGGGTAGGTGGAAGTTGAGCTGTGCCTAAGGCTCAAAAACTTACTTGACTGAATGAAGGCTCTGGAGTAAGATGGCCCTTTAAATTTGTCTCAAGTTGGGCCCAAACAGCCAAGCCTTTATACTCCATCTGTCATTGATTATTAGATGCTGATCACTCTTGGAAGAGTGTGATCATAGGCTCTCTGAAGCTGATGGGATCCCAAAGGGGCTGGCAGCTGAAGGCTCTCTGTAGCCTTCAGCTCCCAGCATCTAATCATCGCAGCACCCGCCATTGCAAGTGATAGAGTCAGGGCCCCCACTTCATAGAAACGGTGCTAAGCACAGTGCAGCACTTTCTTTAGAAGAAGATGCCACACAGTCACATCAACCCTCACGTGTGTCAGCTGCAGTCAGACGCTGACAATTACTTCATGGGGCAACCTCATCTGCAAAATCCATTTCCAACTTGGCGACCATTGATGGTTTCTTCCCATTTCTGGGCTGGCATATGAGACTCTGGGGTTCTGCTGAATGCGCTGAGTCATTCTTGGGATTATACTGAATTTTTGCATCTTGGGGTATCCCAGAACATTTTTACAAATCCATATATAGTTATCTACCATCTCTTCCTCTTCATTAAACCTGTTTAGCAGTCTCTTCGAATGCAATGGGCACCTTCTAAAATCAACGTGACTCATGGAAATTTCTTAGAAAGTGCCAGTTTGGTCACCAACATATATTCTTTCAATCAGGCCTAACAGGTTATTTTTCTTCCCCAGAGTTGGACTATATTGCTTTTTGTGTGAGCATCAGTGAAGCAATAGGCTTGACAAACTTCGGGGTCATGTTGTATTACAATAAACATCTTTAAACTCTTGAGTCATACTCAAACCCAGTGAGGATCACAAGAGGAGAGGCCCGTGCAAACAGAGAGCTCATCAGGTCCATTCCTCACTCTTGCCCACTCTGCTCTCAGAAGTTGACCACAATGGCCTAAGAAAGCTGGATTCCCTTGCCCTCTGGCTTCTGATTAAATTTGGCCAAAAGGAGTCACCAGCAGCAGACCAGATGCATTAAGTAATTCCTGTCTGTCTTGGAGAGTGGGAGGGAAGAAGAAGAGAGATATTTGTTCCCTCTATTCCCTGCCTGGTGGGCTGTGGTTTGGCAGTGGCTGCCTTCCAGTATGCTGCAGCTCTGGCTCTCTGTGGGTCCTGGTATCACTGTTCCCTTCCTGCCTCTTCCGACTGAGGGTAGTAACTGCTCCCCATTGTTAATAATCCCGGGGTTCATTACCTCCCTGTGTTGTTTTCCTTAATCCTGCTCACTTTTCTGCAAACCTTCTTCATTTTAACTCCTTTCAAACAACCCCTAGGTTTGTCATTGGTTTCCTGCAAGGACCCCAATTGATACATCTCCCCTCTTACCTTCCCACTGGGTGGACACTCAGTAAATAGAGGGGTGGGAGGAACCAACTGTACTATTGAATCTGCTTTTCTCTCTCTCTTTCCCTAACCACACACAGGAGAATTCTTTTAAATGTAATGCAGATCTGATCTGATTCCATTTAACTTTTTCATTTCCCACCTTCCTGAAAATGACAGTGGCTGCCTGGCTAGTCTTCTCTACCCAAGGCAAAGCCATTATAGCCACCTTCACACATATCACAAAAGAATTATGTAACTGAAAGAAAAAATATTTCACCCCAAAATATACTCTTTTTTAAAAAACATATTTTGAGACAGATGGTCAGAGGTCCTGCAAACAGAAGAAGGCCTATAAACCTGTCTTCTGGGAGGGGACATTTGCACTTGTACAGAAAATCTGCATTGATGCAGCCAGGTCTTCTCTGAGGTCTTCCCTTCTCTGAATCTAGGAAAGATGAACTGAGAGTCTGTATTAGTCCATTCTCACACTGCTAATAAAGATATACCCAAGACCGGGTAATTTATAAAGGAAAGAGGTTTAATTGACTCACAGTTCTGCATGGCTAGGGAGGCCTCAGGAAACTTGCAATCATGGCAGAAGGGGAAGCAAACACGTCCTTCTTCACATGGCAGCAGCAAGGAGAAGTGCCAAGCAAAAGAGAAAAAAGCCCCTTATAAAAATAACAGATCTCATGAGAACTCACTATCACAAAAACAGCATAAGGGTAACCGCCCCGATGATTAAATGACCTCCCACCGGGTCCCTCCCACAACACGTGGGGATTACAGGAACTATAATTCAGGATAAGATTTGGGTGGGGACACAGCCAAACCATATCAGAGTTTGACACTTTTTAAAGGTCTGAAAGGAACATCTGCCATCTATTTTCTCTGAGACCTGCTAACTGTGAGGTTTTATCTAAACAGCAGGAGCACCTATGATAGCCAGGCCTCCTCTTCTTCCCCTCCCATAATTTGTTGTGCCATAATCCAAGCCCCCATTCTTTCTATAACCTCAAGATAGTATATAAGCTACTATATCCTACTGGGGTGTTGTGAGTAATTACTCTGCAGTTCTCTCCTGTGTTCATGCTAATAAATTTGTATGCCTTCTCTCCAATTAATCTTCCTTTTGTCAGTTGATTTTTCAGTGAACCTTCAGAGAGACAAGGAGAAGCTTTCCCTTGGCCCCTACATAAGCAATGGATCTAGATGGGCCATATCATTCCTTTCTCAATGATAGCCAAAGTGTAATTTTGACATTCATAAATTTCAATGTTTATCTTGGTTTAAGAGTCAAGTTTCCCCTTCAGGAGAGAGGTGGTATAAGGTGGTTTAGATAGAGGTTTCTTGAGACAATTTATTTTGTGGCTCTGGATGAGTTTTATAATTTTTCTCTGCCTTGATTTCTTTGTCGGTCACAGGGATATTATGGTGATACCTACCTCATAGGCTGTCCAGAGGATCAATAAGACAATGCTTGTCAATCTTAGAACAATTTAAGGGCCAAAAAAGTGATCGATACTTCTTATTAATCACTAGTTACCCCAATGAGGCCTCTTTCTTCACTCAGTCCTCCTCCCTTAATAATTAAATTAATATTTGCATCTCTGCTGTGTGCATTGTTCCTAATTGCCTCTAGTGATGGGTACCTAACATTTATGCAGCTTAGACCAACATTGTTTGGACAGGAAAGTCTACTCCTGCAGCCCCTGAAGAAATATCTTGGGCTCAACACAGCCTTACTGTGGAGCACAGCCTTGACATGTGTTTTCTCATGGAACTGTCACTAGAACGATTTGAGGCAGGAGATAATACACCTAATTTATGGATAAAGAAACTCTAGCTCTAATTGCCAGCATTGATGAGAATGTGAAACAACAAGGGGCTCAACCAGTGCTGGTGGGTTGTAAATGGATGCAATCCACCTGGGGAACAGGATGGCGTTGCCCGCTGAGGCTGATTGTGCACACACCCTATAAGCCAGAAATCTGAGGCCTAGGCGTGTGCCTGAAAGACACTCTTTTGTGTATGTTCTGGGAGACACACAGGGCAATGCTCATAGTAGCATCATTTGTAAAGCAATGACTGGGAATCAATCCAAAGGTCTATCATCAGCCGAATGGACAATTAAAGTGTGGCATATCCACATACTAGAACACCAATCAACAGTGAAAAATGAATGTATTACAGCTGCATGCTTCAACAGGGGAAGACTCCTAAAGACATAATGTGAAGACAAAATGCAACTCACAGAGGGATGCATAAGCCCGTTTCCATATATATAAACTGCAGAAAAGCAAAATAAGGGCCATATATTGTTAGGAAACAGAGATGTGTAGTAAAATGAGAAAGAAAAGTAAGAGAATGATTGTTACAAAAAAAATCAGGGTAGCAGTTCCTTCTCAATGTGGGTGGGGAGGAAGAAGAATGCAAGGGAGGAGGGGCCCTGAGGGACATCTGAGATATTTCAGATGCTGTTGCATTGGTGTCCATTTTATCATTGCTCCTTAAATTGCTCGTTTATACTTGCTATACTCTTGAGAAAGGATGCTCTATTTCAAAATAAGACTCTAACCAATTCCCAAAGCTCAGAGAGGTGAAGCTGCTTGCCTTAAGTCACACAGCTGTTGTGTAGCAGATCCCTGGTTCTGGAGGCTCAAAGCTGAATCACTCACTCTTTCATCTCTTGGGTAGCGTAAATACAGAAGGACAAAATAATTGCTAAAGAAAAGGGACCCATAAACAGATGATTTATTTTTCATACAAGAAATTTATTGAGTAACTACATTGTGTCGGGCACTGTCCAAGGTGCTGGTGATTTAGAGGTGAAGGAAATGAACCGGGAATCTGCCCTCAGGCACTTGGCATTCTATGGTAGATGGAGGCTAAACAAATTTCATAAGTATGACACATACGTTTTTAAAAAAGATATAACTCATTGTAATACAATCATATGTCGCACAACGTTTAAGCACCTGGGAATCTGATTTGGGGGTACAAATGTACGTAGGTTTCTAGTCCTTTCTAAGATCAGCGTTTTGTTTATTAACTTCTTTTGGTACAGGTGATAAATCTACTTGTTCTGGCAGGTATTGCCTGTATTATTTGTGTGTTTATGAGCCTTCTGGCAATTTTAAAATGTCAAAGTAGGACTCATTTAAAAGCCATTTTAAGTTTGTAAAAAAAAAAAAAAAAGCATGTTTTACCCCACAAAATGCCATTATAAAAATACATAATATATGTATTTTCACATATATTATGTAAAGGAAGGATGAAAGGAACTCAGAAAACACAAAAAATACATATATTATATATTTTCTGAGTTCCTTTCATCTAGTTTCAGGTCTGAGAATGGTGCTTATTTTTTCTTGCATGATTGATCCCTCTTATGCCCATGACATTTCATTGCTTATGGCTTTATCAGTTTGGGGAAGAAGCAGATGATTTTCAGGGAGGAATCCCCCTGGACCTGGACAATGGCCTTTACTCCCACCTGCATGAGGCCAAACCTGACTTTCCTGGGTAATCCAATGAAGGGGTTGCAGGACAAAATCAGTGATCCATCAGCCTGGCTTAGTTGGGCTCATAGGGCTACTGAGAGGGATTCAGGCCCCACAGAGCTAAATATCCTAACTTTCCTCCCTAGAAGGCCAAAAAATAAAAATAAAAAATTAAAAAAAAATTTAAAAAAAAGATGCAGGATGACAAAGAACCCATCAGACTTATTGTTAAACACATCTTGCTCACAAAATCTCATATGTTCTAAGATGGGCATTATTGGGCCCATTTTACCTACTGAGAAAATTGAGTCTTGAAGAGGTGACTCAACTTGTGCAATGTCACATGGAGACACAATCAGCATCTGAACTCATGGCCATTGGCTTGCAGATTCAGAGCTCTTGAATGGTCATCCCCAGTGAAACAGCCAAGGTTCCAGGAAAGATCAGGACAGTCTCAGGAGAGAGATGGAAACCATGCCCTCTTCTTCACCCCATCCCCAGCCCTGAACCTGTTCCTGTGGGGCCTGGGAATTAGGTCAGACAAATCAAATATACAAAGTGTAGCCTTTGTTTGACTGTCTTATCTAATGTGCCTTCTCCCCCCATGGACAGCTGTGTCCTATCAGATGGGTGGGAGCTAGGGAGCCAGTTAGGGTCTGCCGCACTGTGAGACTCTGCCTGCTGGCCTTTGAATCTGCAGGAGATCAGGAGAGCATGGGACATGGGGGACTTAAAGACAAAGAGCACAGAGAGTGCTGTGTTGTCAGCAGCCTGCCTTGGACATCTTTTCCTCCATTAAAGCCAAAAGGATGAATGTGAACATCTTCTAGAAACCACTAATTTCCTGGAGATTAGAAATGAATGTCATGACACTTGATGAGCACCATCCAGGTGCCAGCCACCATGCCAACTGCATTTTCAAGTAGTGTCTTTGTAAACATCCGGATGCATATACTGTTATTACTGCCTTTGACCAGAAGACTGAAGCCAGTTGCCCAAGGGAAGCTACCCAGTTGGCTGTAGAGCATGGAATTGAAGTGGACTTTCTAAAAGTCCAGGGTTTCATCCCTCCCTCCCAGCTAGTGGGCGTTCCTTCAAGCCTCACCCAAAGTCCCTTGAAGGACGCCCCCCACACACAATATTTTTAGCCACCTGTGGTGTGGAGCGAGTGCCCATCTGAAGAGAAGACGTGGGAGTTCAGGCAAAAATTGAGAGCAGAAGGGAGGAAGGAAACAAGAGAATGCACCTTATTAATATTGAATTTAGATAATAGAAAAAAAGATAATACAGAAGTAGGAACATGTTCCTATATCTCCTTCTGTTTCCCTAGAGTAACTACCATTAACAATTTGTTCTTTATCCACCCAGGCCCTTTTCTCTACATCTATATATACAAAATGAGAGAGACCCCGAAACTATATATAAAATAGTTTGTGGGTATTTGAGCTGTGTAAGACCTTTAACCCAGAAACTATACTAGGAACCTGATTCTACAGAAACTCTCACATGTCTGTGAAAGGTACAAGCATATTCATTTTAATATTCTTTGTTGAAAGAATAAAAAATTAGGATAAAATATACCTCTATCAATATAAAATAGCCTGAACCACCCCCCAAACTATATATCCATAGATATATCTATATGGAAAGATAGATATATATCCATAGATGTATCTATATGGATAGATATATATTTATAGATATATCATATAGATACATATCTATCTAGCCTATGAATAACTATGGATATATAGTTTGGAGGGTTGGTTCAGGCTATTTTCTATTTTCTATAGATACATCTCTATGGCTAGACAGATATCCATAGATATTTCCATATAGATACATATTCATATAGATATATCTATTGATATATCTATGGGTATATAGTTTGGGGGTTAGTTTAGGCTATCTTCTATTGACAAATATATTTTTTCTAATTTTTCATTCTTTCAACAAAGAACATTAAAATGAACATGGTTGCACCTTTGCACCGTATATCCATTCAGATACACAGCTTAGGGAATTGGTTTTCCTTTCATTTCTATGTTTTTACATAAAAGAAAATATCCTGCATATATAGTTTTCTTTTTTCTTCTTCTTTTAGCTCTGTGTGCTGGATTAATTCTTTCTGCCCATGTATATCTATCTCTACCTTTCTCTACCCCGCTCTGCACCCTGGGGAACTGCATCATTACACTCCCTTGCTCTCTAGTTTCTGGCTGGGTTTGGCTAATGAGGCACCCCAGCTCCTCTTCCCCCTCCGGCCTACAGCGGTAACAGCTCCCTCATGTTGCTACACTGCCCCTTGTTGGTTTCTTTAAACCCTGCTCACACCTTTACAAATAGACCCTTTGTTTAACTCTTTTTAAATGACTCAGTTTAAATGTGCCATCAGTGTCCTTCTGGGGCCCTAAAGAAAACACTATATAATCTGAACATCTTCTCAGATTGGAACACGCAGGATGACCTCATTTCTTTAATGACTGCCTACTAGTCCAGAGTATGGATGGAGCAGAGTTTAGTCAGGCTATTTGCTATTGACGAAGATATATTTTTTTCCTACATTTTCATTCTTTCAACAAAAAATATTAAAATGAATATGCTTTTACCTTTGCATAGACATGTGAGAGTTTCTGTAGAATAAGGGTCCTAGTATATTTTGTGGGTTAAAAAGGGCTTACATGGCTCAAATACCCACAAGTAAAACTCCTCTTCAAAAAGAAGGTACAGGCTTACCTTTTTAGGGGGTCACTGGCATTTATCCAGAAACCGCAAGATTTTCAGAGATTGAACAAGAACAGGAGGACTGATCCCAAAGATGGTGGGAAAGAGGGTTCAGGGGATGCAGATGCCAGGGAGGTAACCCCAGCCTGGCTGGCTCTCATCTCTGGGGGCTGCTCCTCCATCCTTGATGCAGACAGCAGCACTGAGCATGGGGAGAGAGGTTGAAAGGATAGAGATAAATGCTAATCTCTAGTGTAAACAGTTCTCAGGGCTGGACACTCTCTGGACATGCCACAATCCCCCACTGGGAAGGAGATGAGATAGCTCGGGAGGCCAAAGCTGGATTGGGGTAAAGGAAAGGGAGATTGGGAGAGACGGGAAGAAACAGGGGCCAAGGAACCCATCATTTATGTGTCTGACAGCCATGGGAGCAGCCCGACTGGAGACAGAGGGAATCCTCGAACAGGACCGGGGTAGAGGAGAAAAGCCGGTCATGGTGAGGCATAAAGGGCAGCAGAGACCCTACCCTCATATATCACAGGGAGGCCCGGTCAAGGTACTGTTCAAGGGTGATGTGCAACCCATAAACCGATTAGTAATTTGAGCCAATGACCTTGAGTGTGACCTTAGCAAGTTACTTTCCTTCTATGGCCCTTCGTTTTCCCATCTGTCAGATTGGGGTTGTATTCCCTGCTTTACCTATGAGAGTAGAGACAATGCTCTTAAATTCCATGCTTCTAGGTGAAATCAGGTGAAAATAAAGAGCAGGATATTTCTTGAAAGACAGAAGAATTTCTCAAGGACAGGCAGAAAGGGGACAGGGTGGAAGAGGAAAAGGGAAGTTGTAGGCAAAACAGCACATTATTAAGTATGTCGAGGCTCATGCAGGCCTGGGGTTGAATCTCAGCTCCTTCATTTGCTAGCTGGGGGACCTTGGGCAAGTCACTTACCCTCTTGATTCTCTATTCTACATTGTTATAGGAGTATAAAGATGATAGCTGCCTCATAGAGTTATGAGAATGAAATGAGACCATTCATATAAACTGGTTAGCTCTGTGCTTGCCGCTTAGTAAATTCTTAGTAAGCATTGGGTATTGTCTCTACCCTAGGTATGGTGGCAGTACCTGGGCACCATGGTTAATGGCATTTTCCAATGGTGCCTGCAATAATATTTCTCATTCATCATTCTCTTCTGTAATGTTACCTTGTCACTTCCCCACCAAGAGGTGGAGCCTAATTCCTTTCCCTTGAATCTGGGCTGGTCTTAGCAACTCATGTATAACCAATGAAATGCAGCAGAAGTGACATAGTATAATTTCTGAGGCTGAATCAGAAAAGCTTCTGCAGCTTCCTCCCCATTCTCTTGGAACACATCTTCTCTAGATGTTCCCTGTTGGGATATCTGGAGCGCAGCTGCCATGTTGTGAGAAGCCCAAGCTACAAGAAGAGCCCACATGTAGGTTTCAGTTGAGCCTAGCATTCCAGGTATCCCAGCCCAGGCACCAAAGAGATGGTTAAGAGGTGGGTGGATTACCTGAGGTCAGTAGTTCAAGACCAGCTTGATCAACATGTAGGTTTCAGTTGAGCCTAGCATTCCAGGTATGCCAGCCCAGGCACCAAAGAGATGGTTAAGAGGTGGGTGGATTACCTGAGGTCAGTAGTTCAAGACCGGCTTGACCAACATGGTGAAACCCTGTCTTTACTGAAAATACAAAAATTAGCTGGGCATGGTGGTGGGTGCCTGTAATCCCAGCTACTTGGGAGGCTGAGGCAGGAGAATTGCTTGAACCCAGGAGGCAGAGGTTGCAGTGAGCCTAGATCGTGCCATTGCACTCCAGCCTGGGTGACAGAGCAAGACTCCGAAAAAAAAAAAAAAAAAAAAAAAGAAGCTTCCAGATGCTCCCAGCTCCCACTGTTCAAGTCACTGCTAGCCATGTGTCTTCCAAGCTGAAGTTCCAGATACTGTGGACTAGAGACAATTCATTACCCACCACGCCTTGTCTGACTTCCTGACCCATGGAATCTGCGAGCTTAATAAAATAATTGTTGTTTTACACCATTAATTTTGGGACCATTTGTTACATGGCAGCAGATAACTGGAAGGTGAACCATGAGCTGATAAGGTTCAGGCCCCTTATCGTACAAACTTGTCTAAGACCTCTTATCCCTGTTGTTGCCTTGTTCAGTTCTAGGAGCATAAATAGCCCCTATGCCCACCCCAAAGTATGTTGGGGATACCAGGGCTTGCCACCCCACTGGTCATATTCTAGGGGTCCTACCAAGAGGCTGGGCGTTTTCAGAATTTGCCTGGCAGGATAATATCTCTTTTTATTCCCTTCTTAGTCATGTTAGACCAGAGTCCTTAGACATGTTTATGGTGTAGCAGTGATACTGAAGGCAAGAAATACCACAAATGATACAAACTACAAAGCTGGGTGGATAATATGACATTAGAATAACAGATCCCAAAGGGCACCATCTCAGAAGGAAGTTTCATATAATAGGAACAAAAATAGGCTACTGTAACTGACAAGTGATAGTAATAATAATGGCAATAATAATTGTAGTAGTCAGAATTTTCCCTCGCAAGTGACAGAAAACCTAACAGGAGCTTAAGCCCCAAAGGCAGTTGCTTGGCTAAATGCAATAGGTTTAGTAATGGCTTGATCCAGGGACTGGGTCTTTTTTTCACTTTCTTTCAGGAGTGGGTGTTATTTTCTTTCTGCCTACATTTAGTCTACCTCAGTCCTGCTTTTCGCAAAGTAGTGGCTGCTCGCAAATCCAGGCTTACATTCTCATCTCCAATAAGAGAGCATGCTTCTCCATCAAAAAAGCCAGTGAAAGTCTATGACACATCTGTCTTATTGGTTCTAATGTGGCCACATGACATCTGTGACTCCCTAAGGCAGGGAGGAGCTGTGATTGGTCACCCTGAGTCACATGCCCATTGTAGCTGGGGGTGGAGTCACAGCACTTAAACTAACCTAAGGCAGGAAGGAGCTGTGATTGCCCATCCTGAGTCGCACGCCCATTGTAGCTGGGGGTGGACTCATGGCACCTAAACCACCCTAAGCCAGGAAGGAGCTGTGATTGGCCATCCTGAGTCACATGTCCATAGTAGCTGGGGGTGGAGTCACAGCACCTAAACTAACCTAAGTCAGGAAGCATCTGTGATTGGCCATCCTGAGTCACATGCCCATTGTAGCTGGGAGTGGAGTCACGGCACCTAAACCAACGTAAGGCAGGAAGGAGCTGTGATTGGCCACCCTGAGCCACATGCCCATTAGTAGCTGGGGGTGGAGTCACAGCACCTAAACCACACCCTAAGGCAGGAAGGAGGTGTGATTGGCCATCCTGAGTTACATGCCCGTTGTAGCTTGGGGTGGAGTCACAGCACCTAAAGCGCATGGACTGGAAGTAGAGGGAAGGGCAGTTTCCCAGAGGAAAACCAGAGTGATATCATTAGAAAAAAGAGTTCCTGCTGAGAGGCAAAGATTTACACATGCAGACCCCAGCCACTATTTACTGAGGGCTAGATTGTACCAGGCACTTTACCTGTGCTGTGATCATGTAATCCTGTCAAGTAAGTATTATCCCTATCTTGCAGATGAAGAAACTGACACTCAAAGAGTGTCTTGCTTAAGGTCCCACGGTGACAGAACTGAGATCAGAACATGGTCACCTGACTGCAAAATTCGTGCCTTTGCCCCTCTATGCCCCAAAGTCCTCCATCTCTTTTTTATACCAGAAAAAAATACACAAAAAACCCCAAAACACGTGTGATGAATGACATTCTCACATACAACCTGTCCTGTGGGGTTAAACTCAATTCCTCTTGTGAGACCTCTATTCGACCCTTCTCTCTCCCACTCCAGTAAGCATTCTAGAATTCAAGATAATAGAAATGAGGTCATTAGAAGACCAGCCTTAAGATCTTTAATTTTTATTATAAAAAATTTCAAACATAAACAAAGTAAACAGAATAGTGTAGTGTATTCCTCTCCCTGTACCTTCTGCCAGCTTCAGCAATTACCAGCATCTGTATTGTCATATCTATTCCTTCCCATACTCCTCACCTTTCACCCGATAATGACATTGATGATGGTTTTCATAGATATGTGTGGTTTTAAAATTTTACTTGAATTTTTTTTTTTTTTTTTGAAGTACAAGGAGTTACCTTTTGTGGGGAAGTTAAGTTCCAAAATCAGTGAGAAAGGCAAAAACCATACATGCACAAAATACTCCTTTAAGCACCATTGTCCCTTGAGTATAGCAACAGTTTGGTATTCGTTCATTTGAAGGGGCCGGATGAAATGGCTGCCTGACATTTGGGGGCATTCTGTACAAAACACTATCATCTTAATCTCTAGGCTCAATCTTAGCACACAGGGACCAGAGAGAGCCAGGAGATCCTGTTCCCATCTGGTATCTCATACCAACTTTGGGGTACGTGCTCATTAAATGAAATGATAGGCAGATCAACACCCTTGCTATTTAAATTATCTTCTTCTCCCAGCTCTGTTTCCTAACAGTACAAATATAAATGGACGATACCATTTCACCCTCAAAGTCTTTCAAATTATGGTATGTGTTTGAATTCCCCTCCAATGCTGATAGCTTGTGACATGTGCTGTGTGCTTGGACCAAATCCACATTATGCAGTAAGCGCCCCATATGCATTTCAGCTGTGACAACTCTGGTGAGAGGTCAGCTCAGAGGGAGCAGGTTGCAGCTGCCTACACCCCGAAGCCTGCGGCATCCGGGGCTCTCCTGCCTTGTGCCCTCTGGATCGTACTCACCTGTGGCCGTGGACCTTGGGCCTGGGAGGATAGCGGTGAGCCCACCTCCCACGGCTCGCCTTCTGGGGCCGGCTGACTTGCTGGGCCATTAACCAGCAAAGCCGCAGCAGCAATAAAATTAATTTCCTTCCTAATATATACAAGACTTTCTGCAGGAGAATTATGGACCGATTTGATCAAAGTGTGTAAGTGGTGTGCTTATGCTATCAGTTTCAACCCCTTAATGCCCTCCTGTCAAAACAAAATCCTCAAGAAAGGCTTTGAGGGGAATCACATGGGCATAATGGCTTTCCAAAAGAGAGCCCTAAGTACTTGGTAACATATACAGAGCCGACTATTAGATCGGCTGGTGTAATTGTCCTTATATTTTAATGTAAACACGCTTATATTAGCCGGGCACTTCATCCCTCCACAGACATGGAGGTGCAGGATGAGCGGGGGAAGGGAAGATGGCTTTAGTGGGAACACCAGCCAGGGGAGGAGGATGTCAAGGCGGAGACATGGAGAGGAGGTCAGGGGGCGTGAAGGGGAGGGGGATTCTGAGGAGGCAGGCACAGGCAGATGGAAGAGTCCTATCTGGCTTTTATTAATAACACGAATGCCTGGCTCCTGGGTGGCACTTTGAACTTCTGTTTTCCCCAGAGAGTTTTCCCATCCAGGTTTTGCTTTGCCCTTGAGGCAACCTCTGCAAGATGGACTGGGAAGGAGAAGGACTCATTTCATGGATGGGTAAACTGAGGTTCAGAGAAGGCTTTTATGTCCCAGCAGGAAATAAATGCACAGTCAAAATGGGTGAGAGAGGGTGGAATGAAGGGGTCATTACAACGCTGTGGGACTGGGTTTAGGGAATTGACAGGGATGGCAGAGAACCCCGAGGCTAGCAAGGGGGAAAATTACTACCACTTTGAGACCTAAGGGACAGGGTTTCATAGAAGGTCCAGAACCTGGTAAGGATGAGAGTTTAAGAGAGGACTCCCTGGAAGAAGCTGCAGCCTTTCATAGAGAAAAGCAGCCACTGCTAAGTCCATGTAGGGCCGGCATGGAGGGAGCCAGGGAATAAGTACCTTGATCTCTCTTTTCCCTCCCGCCCTGCTCTCCTAATTTCCCACAGGCAAAACCCAGCAGGAAGATAGAAGACAATAGAGCCGTGATTTTGACCCAGCCTCCCAGGACACAGATGGGGTGAAGAAATCAAAGGGGCAAACAGAATTTGCAGCCCAAGTTTCGAAGGGGCAGTTGGGAGACATCTTTAGGCTTTCTGCAACCAAGCCACCGTCTTCCACACAGCAAGAGACAGTTACTCAGTGGAGGAATAAGCCTTCAGTTGCATACCGCTCTGTGCATTGGATGGGAGGATTTTGAAACTTTTGGAAGCTCCATACTGTGGCTTTATTCCATGAATCCACCAGCGCTGTGCACCAAAGTTTCTCTGTGGAGGGAGAACATATTTTTGCAGAGCAAGTACAGATAAGAGGTTGGGTGCCTGAAGCCTGGATAATAATAGAATGACAGCTGATGATTCATCAGTGCTCTTCAGAGCCAGCTGATAATACGTTGCCAGCCTTTCCCCTTTGCTCAGACAGAACAGCCACCCTCACCCACGGGGATTCCTGCCCAGAAGGAATTTCCACAGCCCTGTACCAAGCATGCTTAAAGTGGCTGCCATTTATGTGGGGTTTCCATGTGCCAAGGGGCACGCCAATGGTCCTTTACATCAACTCACTTAATCTTTATATCCTCATGACCGCCCCAGGAGATACATAATAACATCTACATTTTATAGGCAGAGACAGAAGCTTGGCTCAGCATAACAGAGAGGGAGTGTGGAGCAGTGGTCAGGATCACAGCCAGTAAATCCAGATGACCTGGGTTCAAGTCCCAGTCCTGCCACTTCCCAGCTGTGGGCTTTTGCACAAGTCACATGGTCTTCCTGTGTCTCAGCCCCCACCCCCCCATCTGTAAACAAAACAACACTGTAAAATAACAGTGTCTACCTCATGGGGATCTTGCAAAGATCAAATAAAGAGCTTTGAAGAACATCTGACTTATAGTAAGCTCTGTGTGAGCATTAGCTCAGAGATAGTTCTCATGTTAAACTAAATAAGTTGCCCAAAGTCACATAGACAGAAATTAGCAGTGCTGATTGTGCAAACCTGCATCCTGAAGTGAGGCCTTGGAACCAGGGTTGTCCTGGAGCTGGTTTTACCAGCTTGCAAGAGCCAACTGTTAAATTCTCAGGACTTCTGTGAACCAGTTGTTAAACACAGACATTATTAAAAATTAAATTATATCAAGTTTACAGTTAAATAAATTATGTTAAAGACAAAGGTAATACATACTCTAAATGTATCACTCCTAACGTATCACTCGTTTTTGAGGTCATTTACACCTGCTGTATCTGTGTGGTGGAAGTCCTATATAATGAGATGCTACATACCATCTATTCCTAACTGTCGCATGACGTCAGCCATGCTGGGATTATTTACACCACTGAAACTGGCAAATACTACAAATCAGACCACTTTTCTCCTCCAAGAGAGGTAGTTGTTAAACATTTTACCAGTACATCATTGCCTAGAACCGGAGCCTCTTTACGTCTCATCTGAAGCTTTTCCTGTCACTCGGCAGGGCATGAGTGGTGAGTGGAAAATACTTCCTACTTCCTAGACTCAGGGCCACTCTCATTTGGAGGGTGGGTGGGCATCTTGCCCTGACATCATCTCATGCCAGACGAGGAACTGGGAATATTGTAAGGGAAGCTTTCAGTGACCCCTGCCTTGTATGACATCTGACTGTTAGGGCCATAGTTTAAAATGTTTCTTGAGAGGGCAAGAGTCATGAGTGGGGCAAGCAGGTAGCCCATTTCTGGGCACCACCACCATCCTTCACTCAGCATCCTGCCCCCACTTCAGGCAAATTCCTCAGCTAATGATAAGCGTGGCTCCATCTCAGAATTTTCCCATCGTGCTGACAGTTTTAAACCAATGGATTTATGAACTTTAAAGTAATAGAAATATTTAAGGCAGACCTATTTGCCTTATCTGCAAAGACAGGAACACTCCTCTTCAGAGGGGGGTGGGGAAGTAAACTCATAAAAGGGAGCGATGTTGTTGAACTCTGCCTGCAGGAATGGGAGGGAGGGGCCCTCTTGATGCCCAGATGCTCTCATCCCTGCCGTCCCCTAGGCCTACTTCACCAGCCTTCCTGCCAATCCGGGGTGCTGCCAGAAATTCTCCCAGTAATTCTTTTTCTTGTCAAGTTAGTTAGATTCAGTTTCTCTTGTTTGCTTTCCATTACCCTGCTGAATACAAAGATCTTGATAGAGGTGATGGTTATAATGATGGCTAACATTTATTGAGTATCTATTATATGCCAAGCACCGTGTGCTAAGGACTTTATACGCATGATTCCATTTAATCCCCTGGAAGAGGGCTGGAGGTCAGGGTGGGGGGTAAAGATCCAAGTTTTGTGGGGCCTGAAGCTTATTCAATTGGAATAAGAAAAAAAAACATGAAGTTACCATTTGTAAAATTAATTTTAATTTTAAGTTCCAGGGTACATGTGCAGGATATGCAGTTTTGTTATATAGGTAATTGTGTGCCATGGTGGTTTGGTGCACCCATCATACCTAGGTATGAAGCCCAGCATGCATTAGTTGTTTTGCCCAGTGCTCTTCCCTCCCAACCCCACCCCCCAACAGGCCTCGGCGTGTGTTGTTCCCCTCCCTGTGTCCATGTGTTCTCATTGTTCAGCTCCCACTTATAAGTGAGAACATGTAGTGTTTGGTTTTCTGTTCCTGTGTTAGTTTGCTGAGGATAATGGCTTCCAGCTCCATCCATGTCCCTGCAAAGAACATAATCTCATTCCTTTTGATGGCTGCATAGTATTCCATGGTGTCCCCCTGACCAGGTCCCCCTGCTGCTGGCGACACAGACGCTTGCTTGCTGTTCTCTGGTCCTGGACGCCTGAGGCCTCAGCCTCCCCAAGACAGCCCTTCCAGATTCTCAGGACTGCCTTGCCCTCCCTGCCCTGCCTCCTAGGTGACTCTGGAAAAGATGAGAGTACACATTTTCTCCTGCCTGAATGTGTACCACATTTCCTTTATCCAGTCTATCATTGATGGGCAAAATTCCATTTTTTTGCAAAACCATGTGACCCTGTGGAAGCATCTCTAGAGCCCCTCATGGAGTCTTGAAGGAACCTGTGAGGGTAAAGGGTCCTGAAGCTGAATTTTCATGATCTTCATTTTACAGAGGTGGAAACTGGGACCCAAAAGGGGAAAGTGATTTGTTCAGGTCAAATGGTTTCCAGTGGTGGAGGGAAGATTTGAACCCAGGTCTGACTCCAGAAGCTCTGCTCTTACCCATGACTTCTTAGAGACTTCATCACCTTACCCTTTGCTACCCAGCTGGCATTTCCTCCTGGTTCTTCAACAGCTACCACTTGGATGGGGACTCAGCTTAGCCTCACCCCTGTCTTTGATAGTACTGTTTCCCTTCTGGTCCTCCTCTGCACCTATACAAATCCTATTTATTCTTGGAG
The DNA here is from genome assembly GCF_000001405.40 of Homo sapiens. NCBI lineage: Eukaryota > Metazoa > Chordata > Mammalia > Primates > Hominidae > Homo > Homo sapiens. Next base: position 114,235,969 of record NC_000012.12, on the reverse strand, counting down.
ATGCCACTCAAGTTCTTCTCCCTCTTCCTCATCCTATCTTTTCCTATTTCTCTTCCTAGAAATAAAACCCAAATATTCCAGCCCTCCCCAAGCTGCCCTTGCCCTGAATGTCTCTTGACCCCTACAGCTTAGCTTTAAGCATCCTGTGGTTTTTTTTGTGTGTGAATCTCATCTCCCCCACCCCAGGTGTGTTGTTAGATTGTCCAGGAGGACAGAGTCTTATATCTTTTCTGCATACCTGAGAGTCCGTTGCTCCATTTTCCTTACCCCTTTATTTTATCAGTATTTTCTGAGCATCTCCTAGGTGTCAAGCACTTGTTCAGCACTGGGGATTCAGACATAATTGGCACAGTCACTGTGCTCAAAGAGATGACACATTCCATACAGCTAAAGTGGGCTCTGATGGCTCAATACTAGGGGCTGTGGAAACTCAGAGTGGGAACCTCTGACCCAGGCTTCGGGTCACAGGAGGCTTCCTGGAGGAGGTGACATCAAAGTTGATGTCTGGATGAAGCATAGGGTAGCCAATGGAATACTAGTAGAGGAAATAGCACAAATACCTAGAGGCAAGCGAGAGTGTGGTGAGCATGGGGATTAGATGTTCCTGGTGGCTGGGGAGGAGTGGTGGGTGGGGAGTGTCAAGGGGTGATTGAGGCCAGGAGAATCAACAGGGGGCTGGGTCAAGGTGGCCTTTGTATGTTTCTCTGCAGACTGTGGACTTGATTCCAAGGGCTCTGGACATTTCAAAGGCCAGCAGTGTTGTGATCGAACCAGTCACTCTGGTTGCAGAGGATGGATTGAAGCAGTGGAAAACAAGGACAATTAGGAGATTGCTGCAGCAATGCAGGAGAGAGACAGGGGCTTGAGCTTGGGAGCTGCAGTGAGGCGAGGAAAGGTGGCTGGGCTCTCTGAGCCCTCTCCTACTTCTCTCCACCACATGCACCTTCTCACCCAGCCTCCAGCATACAAAGCTCGCTCCTGCCTCAGGGCCTTTGCATCTTCTGTTCCCACCACCCAGAACTGATCTTCTCCTACATGTAACCATGCTCCCTCCATCCCTTACCTCCTTCAGGACTCTGGTCAAATGTCACCACCTCAGAGAGGTTTCCCTGACCACCCTTCCTTCCTAAAGTAGTCCCTCCATACCTCCCACCTTTCTAAACTCTGGCTCTGTTTTACTCATTTATTTATAGCCCTTGTCACTACCTGACATGTTTATTTACTTCCTATTTCCATGACCAGAATGTCTGGGGTTTTGTTTGTGTTGTTCAGCACAGACGCCCAGCACAGGAATGGGGCTGCACACACAGTCGACATTCAGAAAATACGCATCTGATGAACAGTTACATTCACTATATGGCAGGCAGGGCTCATGGATGGAGTGGTGGTTGATTGGATAAGGGGGTGAGGGACTGGTAGAGGGGATGCCCTTGCTGTGCCTGAGGAGGAGAATGACAGGCTCCATTTGGGATGTTTTGAAGTTTTAGATATTGGTAGAATGTTCAAGTGGAAATATTGTATTAGTCAGGGTGCCCACTCAAGCTAACAAATAGAATTAACCATTATAGACCTCAACCAGGTTCAAGGCTGAAATTGCAAGGTCTGAGCTGGAGGTACAGACTTGGGCCTTGTCTACAAATTGATGGAGTATCACCCAGGGCCTAGGGAGGAAGCATATGTTTATTCAAACTGGGCAGCTGAGAAGAGTTTAATGAAAAGATGGCCTATAAGAATATGAACAGAGGAAGGAGACCCACGAAGGGGTGAAGAACCTTGGGGCTAGCAACAGTGGGGTGCCTATGCCACCTGTATTGATCAGCGTTCTCCAGAGATACAGAATCAGTGTAGACTATCCATCTATCTATCCATCTTTCTATTCATCCATCTATCCATCTATCCTTCTGTCTATCATCTATCCACCCATCTGCCCATCTATCCTTCTATCTCCAAATTCATCCATCTATCCTTCTATGTATCCCTCCTTCTATGTATCCATCCATCCATCTATCCTTCTATCAGTTCATCTTCCCTTCTATCCATCTATGCTTCTATTTATCATCTATCCATTTATCTACCCATCTTTCCTTCTATCTACCTATCCATCCTTCTTTCTATGTATCCAAACTATCCATCCATCCATCAATCTGTTCATCCATCTATCCATGTATCTACCAATCTTATCCACCCATTTATCTGTCTATCCTCTACCTGTCTTTTATCCGTTCATCTATCTTTCTTTCTATCCATCTTTCTATCACTCTATCTATCTATCTACCCATCTATCCTTTGTCTATCAATTTATCCATCTATCCACCCCTCTATCAAGAGAGTTATTTCAAGAAATTGTTTTATGATATTGTGGGGGCTGGCAAGTCTGAAATCTGTAGGGCAGGTGGACACACTGGAAACTCTTGTGCAGGAGCTGATGCTGCAGTCTTGAGACAGACTTTCTTCTTTCACAAGGAAACCTCAATTTTTGCTCTCAAGGCCTTTCAACTGATTAGATGAAGCCCACACATATGATCAAAGACAATCTCCTTTACTTCAAGTCAGCTGATTATAGATGTTAACCATATGTACAAGATACCCTCACAGCAACACAGAGCTTAGTGTGTGATTAAATAACAGGGATTATAGCCTGGCCAAGTTGACATAATAAAATGACGATCACACCATCCTGAGTTTGGAAGGGAGAAGGGGAAGGGGAAGGGGTGGTTACCAGGGTCTGGCCAGAGCTGTAGCTGCTCTCAGGAAGAGGGGCTGCCTGCCTTTGGAAGAGGGGCCTAGCAGGGAGGGAGCAGGGAATAAACACCCAGACCTTCCTATCCTCCCATCCTCTAGTCTCTTGCTGGTGCCTCCCAACCTGAAGCCAGAGGGCAAGGGAGTCCGTTGATGTGTCCATGCAGCCCAACTTTTTGGGCACAGAGCAAGGGGAGCAGGATGAGGAGTGGATCTGGAGGAGTAAATGGGAAATCTCCAGCACAGTGATAAGGAGAACAATGGGAATCACCCAGACCCAATATGCAAAATGAGGAGAGACAGACCAAGGAAGGAGCCTGAGAAACTTCCATGGCCAGTGAATGGAAAACATTCACAGTGGAAAACAACCCAAAGAAGTTGGAGAAGGAATGGCTAGAGGCTTGCAGAAAATCCAGAAGGATTTAGAAGAGGGTGAGGGCATTGGGAGGCCCAGAAAAAAAAAATCCGGAATGAAACCATGGGTCCAGGAGTCTGGGACTGTGCAGTGACTAAAGGCAGTCAGATAAAGGACAGGCAGAACAGTGACAGCCATATTCTGAAGGGCCATGGGAACCGAGACCAGAAATGTCCTCCAGCTCACAGGGCAAACTTGGAGCCCCAAATAGGAAATTAAGGAGATCAGGAGCATAGACACAGGAACAGAGGTTAGGAGAAGAGAAGAGAGTGGATTGGTGGATGGGTGTGTGGATGGATGGATGGATGGATGGATGGACGGACGGACAACAGGTGCATGGATAGTTGGATGGATGAGTAGATGGTTGTATGGATGGATGGGAGAGATTAGATGGAAAGAATGAAGGAAAAAAGGAAGAAAGAAAGAAAAAAGGAAGAAAGGGAGGAAAAAAGAAAAATGGAGGAAGAAAAGAGAAGGAAGAAAAGAAGAAATAAAAAGAGAAGGAAGGAAGGAAGAAAAGAAGGAAGAAGAGGCTTCATATGCCATTTTCCAGGCATAATCCTCATACCTTTAGGTGCTCTGCTATTCAATTCTTATAAGAGTCCTGTGAATTTATTTATTGCCATTTTACAGGTGGAAGTTGCAATGAGCCTAGATGGCATCACTGTACTCCAGCCTGGGCAACAGAGCGGGACTCTGTCTTGAAAAAAATAAATTAAATTAATCTATTAGATCTGTGTGGATCAGCAGGCTTGACTACACATGCTTCACTTTGGGCCAACATTCCATCCACCCCACCCCCACCAAAAATACATTAAAAAATCTTTTAGCTTCTCATTGAAAGAACTGACAACCACACAACAGCTTAAGATGGTTTTCAGAAAGGCACGAAGGACATAACTTACAGTTCCTAGGAGACATGGCTTTGGGTCGGTAATCAATACCTACTGTGTGAGTTTAAGAAAATAGCTACTAGCAGACACCCTGATACTGCATCTATTTAATAAAAATGTGTTCCCCATTACTACGATTCTCCAAACATAAAAACGCTGTCGGCACTTCAACAGGGCTTCCAACACCGAGGCTGCTGCATGATGTACGGGCTTCCTGCCTCTTTGTGGCTTCTTTGTTTGGGGTTCTTTGTTTCCTGCCTATAGGTACCTAGAGGCTTAAGCCTGAGGCCCCAGACATTAGATCACAGAACTGGGAATCTCAAAGCCAGAAGGTACCTTCAGGGATGGGGTTACTGGTGTGATGTAGAGAAGGAACACAGTATTTAGAGCCGGATTATCATCTAATTCATATTTGTGTCTTTAGCATTAAGTCACTTAAATATTCATGCATTCATATAATCTAGGGGTGTCCAATCTTTTGGCTTTCCTGGGCCACATAAGAAGAAGAAAAATTGTCTTAGGCCACATATTAAATACACTAACACTAACAATAGCTGATGAGCTAAAAAAAAATCACAAACAATCTCATAATGTTTTAATAAAGTTTACAAATTTGTGTTGGGCCACATTCAAAGCCATCCTGGGCCACATGTGGCCTGCAGGTTGGACAAGCTTGATATAGTTGATCATTCATCCATTCAGTTATTTATTGAAATACATGTTGGCAATGTGGCAGATAGACCTGAATAGCCCCCATGATCCCCAAGCCCTGACATTCATGCCTTGCATAATTCCCTGCTCTGAGTATAGGTATAACCTATGACTTCCTTCTAACCAGTAGAATATGGCAAAGATGAATGCATTTTGCAGATTAAGCTGCTAAATTAGTTGGTTTTTGTATTACAAAAAAAGGGAGATTATCCTGGATGTGTCTGACTCAACCAGGCAAAAGCTTTGAAAACATGGCCTTCCCTGAGGTCAGAGGCTCTCTCTCTTACTGACCATGAAGAAATGAGCTGCTACGAGTTATATTCAGCACAAGGAAATGAATTCTTCCAATCGCCTAAATGAGCTTGGAAGCAGATTCTTTCCCAGTCAAGTCTCCAGATAAGAACACAGCCCAGCTGCCACATTGACTGCAGTCTTGTGAGACCCTGAGTAGGAGACCCAGCTAAGCTGTGTTCAGACTTCTGAGCCAAGGAAACCATGCAATAATAAATGTGTATAATTTTAAGATTCTAAGTTTGTGGTAATTACACAGCAATAGAAATCTAAAACTGGTACCAACTATGTGCCAGGGGCTGTCAAAGATGCTGCAGATAAAATAATACACAAGATAGTCTCTATCTTATGTTCTGAATAGGTTTGCAGTCTGGTACCATACCAGGCACATAGTAAATACTCATTGAAGTTGTGCTGACGAGGGACCTGGATTGTTATAAAATTTTCTTTCTATGTGAACTTGAGCAAGTCAAGTGACTTCTCTGAGCCTCAGTTTTCTCAGATGAAAAATCAGGTCAACAAAATCTGCCTATGTGGTCACTGTGAGTATGGTTTGAAAATCTAAATCACTGAGTAGAGGTAAGTTATAATATTCTGATGGAATTGATTATTTTTCTGTGACAGTGCACACTATACTTGAGCACATTAATGTTATCACCCCTTGTTTACAAATAAAACATAGGAGAGATTGTATACTTCCTATCCACAATGTCTGTTTTCTTATTCTTCTTTTGTAATAAAGACTCTAATTTTTAGCAAGGCACAGGGCCATTCAGAGTAAATACAACATTTTTCAGTCTCAGGTGCAGAGAGGTTGGTCATGTGACTGGGTTTTGGACAATAAATACAAGCAGAAATGTTGTGAGATACTTGGAGAAATATCCTTAAGGGGTAGGGCTGCCAGATAAAATACAGGACACCAAATTATATATAAGTTCAAAATAAAAAACAGACTTAAAAAATATGTATGTCCTAAATGCTTATGCTAGAATTATTTGTTATGTATCAAAAATTTAAATGTAATTGGGTAATTTGTAATTGTACTTGCTAAATCTGGCAGCCCTATTAAGGGAGAAAGTAGCTCCTTCTGTCCTCCTTCCCTATCCAGGTACTTGAAGTGTGATGGCTGGAGCTTCAGCAGTCATCTTGGGCCATGAGGATCAGTCCACACTCTAGGGATGATGGAACATTGAGCTGAGAAGAATCTAGGTTCTTTAGAATGTCAGGAGCAGAGCATTCATAGCAGCTCTGTGTTGATCACCTCTGGGCTTATTTACAAGAGAAAGAAATACACATGTATTTTGTTTAGGTCACTTATTTGGAGATTTCTATTTGGAATAGCAGAACCTATTCCAAATTTTTACATGGACCCTCCAACAGTTAACACAGACTAAATTAGGCATTGCTTCCACTTACTGAGTAATAATGATTGCTTTCATGTACTGTTTGCATGTACTAGGTACTATACTAGACCACTTGCAAATATTAGCTTTAAACATTACAATAATTCCAGGAAAAAGTTATTTTAATCCTTGTTTTGCAGATGAGTAAACTGAGGCACAGAGAGGTTAAGTAACCTGCCAAAAGTCACACAGCCAGAAAAGTAGCAAAGATAAGTTTTGCACCTCAGGTCTGAGTGACTTCAAAAGTCCTTTATCCTCTATCTTAAAAAACTAGATATTTTTTCCAAACTGTTTTCTGCAACCCTTTTTAAAACTATATTTTCTTTAAGCCAGGATCCAATGGAGAAAGAAGACGTATTTCCTCAGCTTAAGGCCCATCATCACTGAGTTTAGTTGCAATTGTTTTGGAAGTCAAAAAACAATTCTCCAAACATGGCATCATTATGTCCATACCTGGAAACACTCCCAGCATCTTTTGGTAACTTAAGGTCTGTGATTCTGCTTTGGAGACATTTCTGAATACCAGGCTTCTGCTGGGTACTGAGAACATCTCATGCCCAAGATGGTTTCCATGCCCCAAAGAGCCAAAGATAATGAAAACAGTGGCCTGAGAACCTGAATCACAGGATACCCAGGGTGTTGGAAGTTCTAATTGCCTGGTACCCGGAATCTCTGTCCTCTTCTTTCCTTCCTTCCTCTTCTATCCCCAACAATACTCACCACCTGTCCCACCCTAACCTGGATAAGGCAGTGTTTTGGGCAGATAGACCCTTGGCATCCCTAACATGAGGTCAAGGGTCGCGCCTCATGCCCTCGTACCCCCCACATCGCCGGCTTCGCACAGTAGGTTCAAGGTACACATTTGTTGACGGACCACTGATTGATCTGATTCTGTAAAGTGCTTCACTTGGCCACATGAGCCCAGAGAGGCTTAATAAAGGCTTTTTGAAGATGATAAGAAACAGAGCTGCCTTGTTAAGATTCCGGGGGCCTCGGATTCTTCTTTAGTGGCAGTATCTTTCCGTTTTTTCTTTTCTTTTTTAAGTGCTGGCAGATAAAGCCTGCCGACTGTCCAGTGGGTGACACTGGAGAAAGAGCTTTGGGGCCTTTTGATTTTTAACGGACTACTTCAAAAGCAGCTCATGACATTAAAATCTCCTGGGTTCTAGCTGGGCTCATCGGCAGAATGGCAGGGTTGCCTCCATTCCTGGTTAACAGAATTGTGGCCGGGATGAGACTGGGAAAGACTGACTTAAGGAGGGTGGAAAGAGCTCTGGGTAAGCACTTAGGAGGTGCAGGTCTGACCCAGCCCTGCCACCACTGACTGGAGGCATTGAAGATGCCCCTTTCTATCCCCAGGACTCAGTTTCCCCAACTACAAAGCCAAGAAGTGAAAAAAGAGCAAGCTCCAAAGCCTCTTGCATCCCTGACTCCTCATGTTTGGGATTCACTTAGACTAGGGTTAGGCTTTTTGTCCCAGTGCAGGATGGGAGGAGAGGGAGCAGGAGAGGATGCTCTTTCCACAGCATGTATGCTGCTGTCTGTGTGTCCAGGCAGACTGCAGGCCAAGACAGCATCTAAAAGACACCTCCTCCCCATCCTTCACCCTCACCCCAGCAGCTGCAGTTCCTATCTGAGGGTGCTCTCCAAGGCAATCTCCCCAAAGCCCATATCCCAGCATCTTCATGCCACGTCTGAGTGAAGGTAGCCATCTTTCAGGGGTGTGTGTGTGTGTGTGTGTGTGTGTGTGTGTGTGTGAGAGAGAGAGAGAGAGATGAGGTCCGTAGCAGAGGTTGTAAATTTTTCGTATTTGAATTTCTTTGAGAATCTGAAAAAAGTCATGGACAGGCTCCTTGGGAAAAACACACACATGTATACAAAATTTTGCATCTAAATTAAGGTGGTTTGTGGGTCCCACTGATCCTAGGTTAGAAACTACTAAAATACAGGATGTGTATGTACACTCCTTATAGAAGGAGGAAGAGGAGAAGAAAGAGGAGAGAAGCAGAAGAAGGAAGAGAAGGAGGAGCAGGGGGAAAAGAAGAAGAGGTGGGGGAGGGGGAGCATAAGGAAAACCTGTTTAATCCAAGTAGAAACAAGCAGACCTTTGGTTAGAACATGGGTTCCAGAATCTTAAAGATGGGATTTGATTTTGTTCTTGTTGTTGTTTGGTTTTTTTTTTTTTTTTTTTTTTGAGACAGGGTCTCACTCTTATCACCCAGGCTGGAGTGCAGTGGCATGATCTCGGCTCACTGCAACCTCTCCCTCCTGGGTTCAAGTGATTCTCCTGCCTCAACCTCCTAAGTAGCTGGGACTACAGGTGTGCACCACCACATCTGGCTAATTTTTATATTTTTAGTAGAGATGGGGTTTCACCATGTTGGCCAGGCTGGTCTTGAACTCCTGACCTCAAGTGATCTGCCCACCTCAGCCTCCCAAAGTGCTGGGATTACAGGAGCGAGCCACCGTTCCCAGCCTTAAAGACAGGATTTAAATCTCAGCTCAGCTCCTTTCCAGCTGTGTGACCTTGGACAAGTGATTTGAACTTTCTCAGCTTGTTTCATTTTAAAAATGAGGTCATGATATGATTTGGGTCATATTACTTCTGGTTCCCATCCTAGAACATGCTCTTCATCTTTGGAGGTTATTTTGTTTGTAGGACATTTCCTCCTGGGGCCCCCATCTTTTCCTGAAGCTACCCGAGGCTTAGACCAGAGGCTGGGCCATGGTTAATGTCTTGCTACTCAAAGTGTGGTCCCTGGGCCAGCAGCATCAGCGCCCCCTGGGAGCTCATCAGAAATGTGGTCTCTGCCCCACCCCCGACCTACAGAATTAGCATCTACATTTTAACACACTCCCCAGGTGGCTCATAACACATTCAAATCTGAGTTCCTTAAGAGCCAGAAAAATATTTGGCATTATTTCCCAACCCCATGGATTGCACTAATAAGCAAAACTGTGTGAATGCAGAGCCCTGGCAGCAACTGAGCTTGTTTCCACCTTCTTGGGACTAAGGTTTCAGCACTCGGCTTTTCCCAAACAGCCTCCTTCAAGCTGACCCTGTCTCCCTTCCCTAAATCCCGGCAGCCAGGTTAAAGTTGTCACCAGGTACACATGTAGCCGGCAATCACTCGGCACGCCTGTAGTAAGAAGAGGCTGCCAGCCAAGATCCCAAGGCAACACACTGGGAAAAGACCAGACCTCACCGTGGGGTGCAGGTGGACCATTTGCCATAAAATGACTCTGCCCGGAACATAAAACATGACTTGAACATAGGAAAAATCATCAACAGCAGCAACAATGATCACCTACTAAGTCTTACCATGCGTGGGATATCACTCAGGAGCTTGGCTGCGTTATCTAATTTATTCCACACAACAACCCCACAGAACAAGTATTACCTGGCTAAGGACATTGAGACACAAAAAGGTTAAGTAACTTGTTCAAGGTCACACAGCCTGTAGGTGGAAGAGTCAGGATGGAAACTTAAGCCCAGATTCTAAAGCATAGACTGGACAGACCTTAGCTCAGGGGTCACAAATGAGGCATGGGCAGACTGGCCCTCGGTGTGTTTTATTTTACCTGCCTAATGTTAACATGTTCTTTGAGCCAACATTTTAAAAGTTCACCTACAATATGGATTTCTGGCTTCTCTCAGAAAACCAGAATGCTTTTGGCATTGCAGGACTGCTAGCGGGAGTGAGCAGGAGTGTTCATGCATTGTTTGGATTAGAAAATCCCCACCAGTCACTGTTTATGATATCTGCTGGCCCCACTGGGGATTTTAGGTTGGACACTTTCATATGAATGATAACAATAATAGCAAACTTTTTTGAGGCCTAGTTATGTACCAAGCACAATGCTACAAGAGGAAAAGAATGGGTAGATCATGTACTCAGGTACTCATCTGATACAGGAATCTACCCCACAGCATCCCTTGCTCAGTGTTTATCCATTGTTAGCTTAAATTCCTCCAGGCATAAGCCACTCACTACCTACGGAAATAGTCTTTGTCATGGTGTGACTAGGAGTCTATAAATTTCTTCTTTCTTTAGAAGCCAGTCCTGCCCCTTTCATTTCTACCTGGGGACGGGGCCACCCAGAGTCTGTTGACAGCATCCCCCATGTCAGACCTTCTGGAGATTTGAGGTAACTGACCTTCTTGAACTTTCCATGCTGGCACAGGGAGGCAGGTGGAGAAATTTCTTTCTGGGGCTCATGCTGGGTTCTGAGGAGGAGCGAGGATGAAGGGACTCCTTGTCAGCCTGTGGTTGCTGCTTACTCAGCTCTCTCTTATCAGGTCCAGGGACCCCTGACCCCAGATCAGTGGCAGGCTGGACCGTGTGCCCACTCACCACCTTCCCTAGCAAGAGAGGCTCATAGAAGGGAGCTCTCCAAGTCCTGGGTCTTTCACTTTCTCTATGACTCTCTCCTTTCCCTTTCTTTGTCTTATCCCTTTATTCACAAAACCCTATTTCCCCCTCTCTCTTCTCTCACCTCTCTAGGTCTCCTTTTCTGCCACAATGCTCTGTACTGTGCCGTCTGCCCTCCATGTAGATATCCATGCCCACATATCCCCTTTAAATCACATCTTAACCTAAATCCTCCCCTTTCTCATCTTTGCTTTTCTATTCTCCCCATGGCATAGTCTGCCTATATTTCCCTGAACACACTAGCTAGTAGACTAGTAGCAATTTCTCCTTGAAAAGCAACCTTCCCCGTTTAAATGCATTTGCAGACTTTTTACAGTGAAGTGATGGTTAAAACTGTCCCTAGGGTGTGGTCTCTGGCCCTGCTCTCCTCACTCAACAGACCCTCCCTGGTGAATCTTGTTCACTCGCATGGCTTCAAATGCCACCAGTGTGCTGTCAGCTCTTACACCAATATCTCTAGCCCACACCTGTCCCAGGGTCACACAGCCACCTGCCAGCTGGGCATCTCCATCTTGGCTCACCTTGCCCCAAATTGGACTCACTGTCTCTCTCCCAATCCTGGTCTCACCCTTTTACCTCTAGCTCAGTAAATAACAGCAGCATCTACCCAGCTGTTTGAACTACACACCTGGCATCCATTGTTCATTGTCTCCTCCATGCTCCCCGATTTCCAATTAAGCATCAGGTTCTTTCTCAGCTCCTTTTAGACATGCCTCACACAAATCTCACCTCCATTGATAACAAAATGAATACTTGCTGAATGAATGAATTTGGACCTTAACAATCAAGGCTTTCAGCATCTCATCTGGGTGCCACTTAAGTAGGTTCCAATGAAGTCTCTCAGCTGCCTTTCTTGCTTTTCAATCTATCTTCCATGCCATGGACATAGTTATCGTGTGAAAGTAAAAATATGACTGCCCCTTCCATAACACCTTCCATGGCTCCTCATTGCCTCCAGGCTAAAGCCCAGGCTATTGAAGATCTCCACCCTGTGCTCTCTGCTCCAACTTCAGTGTTTCCTCCTCCCTGCCTGGAACTCTGAGCTCTAGCAGCACCGAATGCATAGCAGTTTTCCACTCACCTCTCTGCTTTTGCTTACGTTGTCTCACCTGGCCGAAATGCCTTTTCCTCTTCCCTTTATCTGGTTAATTATATCCAGAATATATAAAGAACTTAAGCAGCTCCACAACAACAACAACAAAAACCCAATTTAAAAATGCACAAAAGACCCTAATAGACATTTCTCAAAATAAAACATACAAATGGCTAACGGGTGTATGAAAAAATATTCTACATTATTGATCACCAGGGAAATTCTAATACCTTCATAAGAATTTCCTGAAGCATCTCCTTTTCCTGGGATGCGTGCATAATCTATTTGCTTTCACATTACAAAACACATCATTCTCTTCCCCTTTCCTATCTTAAGCAGTCTTAGTACCCACCAGTGTTAATGTTGACACTGAAAGCTAAACCATTATTTAATGCACCATTTTTTGCCATTATTATTATCTATGTTGTTTGCAGTTTTTCTCTATTATAAATGGTGCTGAATATACCAGTGTGAAAAGCTGTATTACTCCACACTTAGAATTATTTCCTTTTGCTAGATTCTCAGAAGTAGAACCATTGTGGATGAGCACGTCTTAGATGAGGTATTTTGCCAAATCAGTTTTCCAAACAGGCAGGCTCACCTGCACTGCAAGCAAATATATGGTCAATTGTAGAATTTAGACTCCCACCTGGGACTCCCTGGGGTACAGAAAGAAGAGTAAAATGTGATGTTGGCAACAGAGCTGAGTTGCTATTTAGAAATAACAAACGTATTGGAAGAAGGAATTGGATCTCCACTTAGAGTGAGTCAAAATGGTTTAAATATGAAACCTGAGGAACAATGAAAAGCAAAATGAGAAGGGAGATGTCTAAAGACTCAACTGAGTGACTGCTTGAATCCGTAATCATTGGGAAAATAGATCGATTTTATTGCATGAAATGGATGCATCTCAAGGGATGCCTTAGGTGAGAGCAGAAGAACTGATTTGGCGAGTGTAGAATTTCCTTCAGATTCATGGCTTGGGTTTTCCGGCACAATACCCCCGCCTCCTGCTTCACTGTGTTTGAATTCATTTACCCAGAGCAAAATCCAACTGAAAGTAAAAGGAGACTTTAAAACACTTATTTTTAAGATCCTCATAAGGTGTTTTGAACATCAAATAGCTCTTAAAAACCACAGCAGTACTTTCATGATTTAAGTGTAAATGATTCTGAAACATATGGATTACATTTTCCTCGAATTCCTCCTCATTTTAAAAGTGAAAGGAAGCGGAGGAAGAGAAATTGTAGATTGCCTGGACTATTTAGAGATTCCACTTGTAGGCAAACCTTGTGAACCCTGAGGCTGGGAAGCAAATTTGCCAGATTTCTGGAGAGGGCAGTGTTAGGAGGGCCTTAAGGGAGGATTGTTCTGTGTAAATCCTAAAATAATCTTTAATTTGGGGTTCCTGTCTGGGCATAACAAGGACCAAAAGCAACAGTTTCCAAGTTCTGATTAGTAAACCAAAGTGTCTTAAATTTCTAGTTGGAAATACAGATTCCAAGGCTAAATCTCAACCCTTCAGAGCAAAAACCTCTGCACTGGAATGCCAAGAATCTGTATTTTTTTTTAAAAGTTCCTTAGCCACCAGATTGGGTTACACTGCTCAAGCTCAGGGTTCCTAAACCTGGGCTCTATTGACATTGGGGCTGGATAGTTTTTTTGTTGTGGGGGGCTGCCCTACACATTCTAGGGTGCTTAATGGCATCCCTAACCTCTACCCACTAGATACCAATAGCATGCCACCACCTCCAAGTTGTGATAACTAAGAATATCTCCACACATGGTCAAATATCCCCTAGGGGGCAAAAGGGTGTTGGTTGAGAATGACTGATGTAGATGACTTTAAAGTGACTAACCATTCAGAGAGATGTACAATTATTTGCTGGTGTGTGTGTGTATTTCTGCTCAGTGTGAGTTGCAGAGGACATTTCTGCATAAATACAGAGACTGAGAAGTTAGGCAGGCAGAGATAATACCATGTGTTCTGTATTTTTGTACCTCCACCTCAAATAATATTCCTTACATTTTTCTACTTCATGGGCATGTGGGTTGGTTATTGTTCCCCATTCTTCACTCCTTTCATGTTATAGAACTACACTTCCCTATCCTTCCCCTGGCTTCATGGCTATCGGGTGAATGTCCCTATCTTGACTTTGACCATGTGACTTGCTTTGACTAACAGGATGCTAGAGGCTGTGGGCAGAGCAAAGGTTTCTGATGGGCCTGCTTGGTTGGGCTTGTTTTCTTTGGCTTCACTGTAAGAAGTCATGTGCACCCCAAGTCACTGCTGCTCCTGAAGCTTGCACCCCTAGAATGCACTTATGTAGAACAGAAAGGCCTGAGCCCAACAAGAAGCCTGGAGCCAAGCCCAGCCTACGTCAGCCAAACCCCAGCCAAACCGCAAACCTCTGGAGCATCAAAATAAATGTTTATTGTATGCTTCTGGGATTTTGAGGCTGTTTGTTACAAACAGAAAAACGTTTTTTAAAACCATTAAAAAATATGTGTAGGTACCTCACTGTTTACATCAGAAGACAGTTTGGCACAGCAGCTAAGAGTTCAAGATCAGAAGCCAAAAAGATAAAGTCTTCGTCCGACTTCCAGCCCTGCCGCTTCCTAGTGAGTAACTTAATTTCTCTGAGCTCTATTTCCTCATCCATTAAAAGGGCATACGAAATAATACGTGAGTCTCAGTTTCCTAGTCTGTTGAATAGCTTTGTATGATACTGTGTACCTCATAGATTTGAAGGTTAGATGAGATGATACATGTAAATTGTTTGGTGTCAGTGCCTGACTCATGGTAAACACATGATAAATGCTAGTTAATTTTATTATGCTGAAGGGTCAAGGGCATGAAATATACGTTTATCTCTTTCTTCCTTCCCTCTCCTCCTTTCTCCCTTCCTTCCTTCTTTTCTGTTCTCCTTTTCTCCCTTGCTTCCTTCTTCCCCTCTTAACTATCACAAATATCTATTAAATTCCCACCATACTCCCCTAAACTTTGTGTTTGGATGAATAGAATCCAAAACCCACTGTGCATGAAAACTGGACACCTCAGAGCCAGTAGCTCAAGAGTCCACAAAGAGTTAATCCCGTGGTGAACCAGGAGCCAAATAAATTCTGCCCCACCAAACACACCCCAATCATCATTAGTCACGGCTTGTTGGACGGGAGGCTCCTCCCTGGCCCTTATCTCCCTGGCTTCTGTCCACGACCAGGTGGCCATATTTCACCTTCTGAAAACAGATGACCCCAGGGTCAGCGAAATGAAAGCCCCATTCAACAGGTCTGCCAGGGAATCAGCCAGCAAGGAGGGAGAGGGTCAGTCTCGCAGCTCTGTCCCTGCCAGGGCATCCCCCAAGCACATGTGCCAGGGATCCTTGCTCTCCATCCCCCAGGTCAGGGCTGAGGGACAGGATCAAGGTAACAATTACTGCAGAGCTTTGTCCTCCATAAAGCATCAGGTGGGGGCGTGGCCTTGAGGCATATTTGCATAGTGCGCCTACCATGATGCTTTGCAGCAGTCCTGTCCAGCTGGGATCTCAGGATGGGATTCCAAGGAAAGAGAGTAGGAAGATGGAATTCCAAGAAGAGAGAGTAGGCAGACAGAATTCCAAGGAGAGAGTAGGGAGATGGAATTCCAACAAGAGGGAGCAGGAAGATGGGATTTCAAGGAGAAAAAGTAGGAAGGGATTCCAAGGAGAGAGAGTAGGCAGATGGGATTCCTGCCCTCATGGGGCTTACCTTCCATGGAGAGTGGGGCCAACTTACCCACTACTTTTAGGGGCTCACCATAGTGTTTTAAATTTTTTACAATCAGAAAGAAAAAATAAAATCTTAGGGTTATTGGAATGTTTTATTTTTTCTCATATCAGAAAAACAAAACTTCAGTGAAAAAAATCAATGAAAACTGATTACATTTTGCCTAAATAGAAAAAAATAAAATGTTTAAATATTTAAAGTTTTATCAAAAATAATTTTTAATGTTGCTATAGTTATGGTGGAAGGAGCCCCATGAAGGCAAAAGCGCACAGGGTCCAGGAAAATCTAATGTGTTCCTGAGCCAGGGAGAGAAGCCATGAATATGCCAACAAATCAATGGATGTGATGCACTCAGATCCATTCATGCTATGAAGGGAATGAAGAAGGGTGGCTCTAAAATATAACAGAGGGCAGAAAAATGACTTGAGGGAAAAATTACTTTTTTTGCTACATCTATGAGAAGTAGTAAGGATGATGAGGATAATGATAAAACAATAGCAGCTACATTTATTGGATGCATATTAAATAAGCAATGTATGTAAAGGGCCTGGCATTTAAGAAGAGCTGCTACTATTCTTTTCTTTTCTTTCTTTCTTTCTTTTTTTTTTTTTTTTTTTTTGAGACAGGGTCTTACTGTGTCATCCAGGCTGGAGAGTCTTGACCTCCCGGGCTCAAGAGGTCCTCCCACCTCAGACTCCCAAATAGCTGGGACTACAGGCATGTGCCACCATGCCCGGCTAATTTTTGTATTTTGGGCTATGTTGCTCAGCTGGTCTTGAACTCCTGAGCTCAAGTGATCCTCCCACCTCGGCCTCCCAAAGTGCTGGGATTACAGGTGTGAGCCACTGCACTGAGCCTGCTGCTAGTGTTCTTATTTTTCTTCTTCTTATACAGCCTGCCAGGCAGTGGGCTAAATAGTTTATATATGTCATTTTCTTGATGTGGGTTTTCCAAAACAAAGCTTCAAAGCAAAGCTTGAAACAGGGACATAGATGTAAGTGGTTTATTTGGGAATTGATCATGATCCTCAGAAGCAGAAGTATGGAGAGGGAGAGAGGGACCAGAGTAAGGGAGGAAAACAGCAAGCACTCAACCCCCCAGCTCAGTCCCCTTGGATTTCCACTGGGGAGCTGCATAGAATGCACCCTTGAACCATCCCAAAGAGAGACAGGAAGGCAGTGCAGGCTGCCATGAGGTGGGGCAGAGCCCTTAGGCAGAGAAGAGGAGAGACTCTGCCAGCAAGCCCAGGAACTGTCCCCTGTTCAGGTAATCTGCCTCTGCTTCATTCGCTCATGAAGTCACTGTGACAACACTATGAGGTGGTGGCTGTTAGGATCCCCCTTCTGCAGATGAGGAAATCGAGGCACAGAGAAGCCAAGCGACTTTCCCAGGATCCCACAGCTGAAAGCAAAGCTGGAACCCAAGTGTCTCCATCTCCTACAGCCTGGACCTTTGGGACACGATGTAGCATGCATCCCATGTGGGAAGTACAGGCTCTGGAGCCAGCACTCCGGACTCCAATCCTGATTCCACCAGGTACGAGGGGCATGACTTGAAGATGCTTTTTAGCCTCTTGGTTCCTCCAGGGTCCTCATTTAGTTGTTGTGGGGTCCATCATTTAGTAGTTAAATGATGTCATATTTGAAAAGAGTTGAAGACAGATCTTGGTGTAGAATAAGTTCTCAGTAACTACGTATGATTCTTTTAACCCAGTGGTTCTCAAAGTGTGAGCCCCAGACCAGTAGCATCAGATCATCAATACTAGTCAGCACTGCCTGAGCATGTATTAGAGATTCACATGCCCAGGCCTCTCCTTGGACCTACTGAGTCAGAAAATCTGAGGGTAGAGCCCAGCAATCTGTGAGTCAACCATCTATTGCCCAGGCGATTCTGTCACATGCTCAAGTTTTTGAGCCACTGTTTTCACCACTCTGCCAGCTCTTACTCTCCCCAGAATGCAGTCTGACACCATTGTGCAAGTGGCTGCAGTAACTTCTGCCCTTGAAGCATGATTGCAAGGTACCTGAAAAACTTCTACTTATAGTATTCTGTCCTGTTGACATGAGAGCTTGATGTCTGTGGATTACAGTTGGATTTTGGTTCAAACACAAAGACTCCTAGAAGGGGAAAAGAAGAAAACCATTTGTGGCTTACACCTTGGTTAGAATCCGCATGCCTGTGGTCCCAGATACTTAGGAGGCTGAGGCGAGAGAACCTCTTGAGCCCAGGAGGTTGAGGCTGCAGTGAGCTATGATCACACCACTGCACTCCACTGTAGGTGACCTATCTGTAAGAAAAAAAAAAAAGAAAAAGAGAAAAGAAAACAGAGCAAGATAATATAGTATGTAATGTAGATAAGATCTGTTTTTATGTTTCTAGCATTATCCTACCTTCTTTTTACCATCATCTCCCACTTCTCCCACTTTTCAAGACCCTCATTTTATCCCCACAGTGCCTAAATTCTGAACTTCTTCCATATTTTCCTCAAATATAACTTGTTCTCAACTAAGCTTCACCCCATTAATTAATTCTTTTTACACATGGGGTCTTGCTATGTCACTCAGCCTAGAGCACAGTGGCCTGAACAAAGCTCACTGCAGCCTCAAACTCCTGGGTCACCACATCCAGCTTTTCTTTTTTTTTCTTTGTAGAAATGGGGTTTAGCTATGTTGGCGAGGCTGGTCTTGAACTCATGGTCTCGAGTGATTCTCTCACCTCAGACTCCCAAAGTTCTGGCATTACAAGTGCGAACCACCACACCTGGCCCATAATTTTAAAAACTGATTTAGTGAGACCATAAATACCAGTCAGAATCTAGTCAAGAAAACAAAATAAAACAAAACAAAGCAGTCCACGATTTTCAAGCAGAGGGTATTTAATACAGGGAATTGGTTACACAGTTGATAGAGGAGCTGAGAAGCCAAACAAGAAATGATGATGCTACCCAGAGATGAGCAGCATCTAGCAGCTGCTTCTGCCCCTAGGACTGGAAAAACAGGAGGAGGAGGTGGTAGCACTGGAACTCAGAACCATCCAGAAGGAACTAGAACCATAGTGATGGCTACTTGGTAGGAGCTGCAACCATGGAGGGGGACTTCTCTGGTAGGAGCTGGAGCCACAGAGGAGACCCAGTCACTGCTGGAGATGCCATAGGAAGGAGAGAGAAAGCTGGGAGGGAGATAGGAGGGGGAGTGTAGGGAAAGACAGAGAGAGAGAGAGAGAGAGAGAGAGAGAGAGAGAGAGAGAGAGAGAGAGAGACTGACTCTGGATTTGCCTCTTCTTCCACCCTCCAGTTTCCTACAAAGCCCTCCCAGTGTCCAAACCTACCCAGAGGGCAAAGGAGCCTAGGAAATGTAATTCTCTGAGATACAGGCCAGAATACAGAGAAGGCAGGAATATATCTGAGATCCTTCCTTCCTCCCTCCTTTCCATTCCTCATCCGGTTCCTTTCTTCCTTCTTTTTTTCTACATCCCCGTCTTTCTTTTCTCCCTTTATTTTTGCCCACCCGCCCTTCCTCCCTTTCATTCCTCCCTCCTTTTTTTTCCTTTCCTTCCTTCCCCCATTTTCCTCCCTCCTACTCTCCCTCTTTCCCCTTTCCTTTCCTCTCTCCATTTTCTTTCCTTCCCTTGGTGCCATCTACAATGGTAAATAAAAGAATGTGTATAAACAGAATGGTAAGCCAGAAGGTTCATGGGGGTTATAGCCTACATCTGTGGGGGATGTTCTCTTTGAGCCAACTGAGAAAGTGGATGGTGGAAAGGATGTCAACTGTCTGCACTTCGGGCACCAAAGGTGAAGGGCTGGTTAAAAGGCCAGCCCAACTCTCTTGGGATGGGGCTTCAGGTTGAGGTCCTGCAGAGCCCCTCTCTTTCAGCCCAGCCTGGCTTTTCTCAAATGACGAGTTTCTCTGATCTCTAAAGACAGATGAAGCCAACTGGGCTTTGGCACGATTGTCCTGCTTCAGGCTGACCATTCCACGTGGGAAAAAGAGGTGGTTCAGCGCTCACTGTTAACCATTTTCTCTAAAAACATCTTTTCTAGTCTGCATGTTTATAACATAAATCAATCAATTCATTCCTAGAGATCAATAGAAAACACAATTTCTGTTATTACTATAATAATGTAGGCATAATAATTAGCACCATAGATAAGAAAAAGCCTATCGTGTATAAAGCCTAGCAACACAGCTCTGCGTGTGTGTGTTGAGAGAGCCTGACCTTTTTTTGTTCACAACCAGCAGTTGCGAACAGCTGCTATAAATTATTTTGATTGTCCAGCAACTTGCTGATTTGAGTCTGGCTTCCATGCTCAACAGCGCTTCTCTGTGATGTTTAGCTCGGGTCTTGTCAATTTGGATCAACCACTTATTCATTTCCTCAAACAAATATTTATTGAGCACCTACTATGCACCAGGAACCATTCTAAGCACTGGGGATGCAGCTGCAAACCAGCGAGCCCAGGATTGCCTGTCTTCATGCATCTGAAAGTTGAGTGTTATGTTTTATTTTTGGTTTACCATGCCAAGACACACTTAGAGCTGTGGGAAAGATCTTTATTATAGAGAGTCCAGCAGAAAGAAGCATTATATAACTGCGAGTCTGCAATTATTTTTCATAATACTATGTACGAAAATACAGGTGACTTGAAAACACAAATAGCTAACTGCAGCATCATGTACTGAATTCAGTCAACCCTTACATAGTCGAGCCTTAAATTATGGCAAGGGAATTCAATCCCTGGTGCTGCAATTAGCTATTCAGTCCGCTCTCGCCCTCCACCTTCCTTCCATCTGAAAGGACCTGGACCTTTCGTGATGTTTTTTCTCCATCCATTCTCCCCAGATCTCTGTATCACTGCCATATATACTCTACCCCCTGCTTTGTGCTTTTCCTTTCATAGCAACCCCTGGGTCTCTTTGTAAGCAGGCTGCCCTCATCTGCCAGAATCCACTTTTCCTGAATCTCCAGAAAGCAGAAATGCCTGGAAACTTCCATTCCCCAAGGAAGTATAAGAGATAGGTCTGGAGTGGTGCCTGAGATTCTGCATTTCTAAGCAGCTCTCAGGGGATGCGGATGCTGCTCATCTGGGGACCATATTTCGCGTAGCACGAGTTTAAGCAAACGCCGGGTGCAGTGGCTCACACCTGTAATCCAAACACTTTGGGAGGCCAAGGTGGGTGGATCACCTGAGGTCAGTAGTTCAAGACCAGCCTGGCCAACATGGTGAAACCCTGTCTCTACTGAAAATACAAAAATTAGCCAGGCATGGTGGCGCACACCGGTAATCCCAGCTACTCAGGAGGCTGAGGCAGAGAATCGCTTGAACCCAGGAGGCAGAGGTTGTAGTGAGCCAAGATCATGCTACTGTACTCCAGCCTGGGAGAAAGAGTGAGACACCATCTCAAGAAAAAAAAAAATATGCTAAGCAAAGCATAGCATGGAGCATGATATTTAGCAGACGCTCAATAATTAGAGTTGCTATGATTGCTGTTGTTATTGCTATTGTTTTTGTAATATATCTCTCAGCCTCACTGCCCTTAGGTGATAGTAATGAGGTCTATCCCTTGCAGGATGTGGGAAATGAGAACTATAGGGTGAAAATCAGGAAGCCAAGAATGGGCAACACCCACCCTCACCCTCCCTTTCCCAGCTGATGATAACAATAACTAATATTTATTGAACAAAATTCATGCCAGGCCCTGAGCTTTGTTTTATCTCTGTGAATCCTAATGGTAACTCTAGGAGGTAGGCAGTATCATTAATCTCATTTTATATATGAGGAAGCTGGGGCCAAGAGAGGTGAAGTGATTTGGCTGTGGTTCCCCAACTAGAAATGAGCGGGCTGGGGGGTTTGAACTCAGCTGTTTTGATGGCAAAGACCAGACATAGAACCATTTCTCCACGCTGCCAGAAAAAAGATGTGACAAAGAGCAGCCACTTAAAAGCCCTGGATCAGGAGCACCGTAAAGGCACAGCCAGTGCACTTCCTGCATCGCTGCTGAGCCTGACACATGGCAGAGGCTCTGTAAGTATTTGAGGAATCAATGAATTGGCTAGATAGAGACATACACTAAATCTGCCCCCAGGAATTCCTGGCCATGCACTGGGGTGAGCCCTTTTCCGATAGACCTTCCTGGGTTCCCCTGCTCATAACTTGGGTTGCAGGAGAAGAAATTCTGTTTGTCCATCATGTTGTCCTTGGTGAGCCATGTCTGCTATCATTAAGCCTGGACTTTATCCTCCCTATAGCCAAGAGGAACGCTGACTTCAGGAGAGAACTTCAGCTTAGGGAGGAGAATGTCACCCATGGAAGGGATGAACAAAGCCACTTCTTAGTATTCCCAGCATCCAATTCATTTCTGAACTTCATTTCATTTACCCATGCATAGAATGGATGCATCACTTTTTTTTTTTTTTGGCTGCTCAGACTCTGAATATTCTTCCTGTTTGAGGAGTTCTGCACTTTATAACTCTTGGAGAAGGCAGAGACCACCTTGCTCTACAGAAACTGAATGGCAGGTTCTTGTGTTCCAAGCATCTCTTGCAAGCAGGGTGCTGACAGGTGACCAGGGCACTCCCTATGCACCCAAGCTAAACTTCAAATGGGAATAGAAGACATAAGAAGTTAAAGCGGCCATGGTGTTCTCCTCCCCATTTCCTCTCTTTCTCTTCCCTGCAGCAGTTGGTGTGGGATGGAGTGCCAAATTCAAAAATAGCAGTTGCATAACTAACTAAATGCTGCATGATGTGGCAGCACTGTCCTCAGCAGGCAAGTTCTGTGGCTTGAGTTTGGGCTTCCCTCTGGCTTGCTTATACATCCACCTGACACTCTGGCCTTGCCAACAATTCTAGCACTCAATGGGTAAACCCCTGTTCTGCTTTAATCATCTGAGATTGACTTTGGGGCTAGTGACCAAAAGCTCTGCTTGATAGAGTTAGGATTCTGGTTCATACAGATAAGGGTTGCATGTAACAAAAACTTCAGAAAA
Organism: Homo sapiens; assembly: GCF_000001405.40. Classification (NCBI taxonomy): domain Eukaryota; kingdom Metazoa; phylum Chordata; class Mammalia; order Primates; family Hominidae; genus Homo; species Homo sapiens. The sequence continues at coordinate 114,213,237 of NC_000012.12, read as the reverse complement.
AAATTCCTTGTGTAGTAGATAAGAGATGCTGCTCACTTCCCCCTTAAGGGAGGATATTCTGCCTAGCCATGCAGAGTGTGGTCAGCAGGTGGCCACCGTCTGCCACCTCGATAAGGGCCTGCCTTAACTGTGAACAGCTGCTCTACCCAAGGTTATGCCATCCTGTATGCAGTGACTGAGCAAGGAAGAAGCATAAAGGTCCAATCATTTTGCTCCAGCATAAGGCACTGTCATAGACAATACTCAATCTAGAGATTTCTCTGAGTTGGCCAAAGCTTTGTTTGGCCAGGAACATAGTTCAATTCCTTCCTCTCTCCAATTCTGCTTCCTCTCTCTTTCATGAGTGGCTGTTACCTAATAAATGTCTTGAACTCTAAATTCTGTCTCAGCATCCTATTCCAGAGAACCTAATCTATAATACCTTGCAATCTTGGGACAATCTCTAATCAATCAGGGTAGGCTAAGCTTTGCTGCAGTAATGAACAACCCCAAATCTCAGTGGCTTAGTATTACAACAGCTTATTTCTCATTCACAACACAAGTGTAAGGCAGGTCAACAGGGGACTCTTTTCTCCATGGTCCTTAGTCCTGGACCTAGGAGAACAGAGGAACCACTATCGGGAACATTGCCTCAGAAGAAGAGCCAGCAGAGAGCGTTGGATGGATCTCATTAGCAATAAAATGCTCTGGCCTGGAAATCATAACTCATTGGCCAGAACTAGTCACAGGGCCCTACTCACCCAGAAGGGGATCAAGTGTAATCCTACCATCCCTGGAAGATGGAATGTGGAAATATTTCACAGATGATGCAAATGACTATCACTCTCTTCATTTAGACAATCATGGCAGGAGATGTTTTATGCCCAGATCCAAAGAAAATGAGGCAACCTGACATAATTGGGATGTCTCTTATTTGTTAAAACCTGACATATACCTCTTTAAAGTGAATTTTTTAAACTTATAGTTTTTGAAACAGGAAAAGTTATTTAAAAATGAAATCCAAAGCAATATCTATATGACCCCTGAAGACCCTCCTTTGATGTCCTAGGTTCTGACAAACACAACATTGAAAGCACACATTGTAAAAGCCATCCATTCCTGGGTCCAAATCTTGGTTCTACCACCAATTAGGTGAGTGGCTTTGGGCAATTATTTTGTTCCTCTAAACCTGAGTTATCTTATCAGTTAAGTACATAATAATATCTGCTTTCCAGGATACTTTTGAAGATTAAATTATATAATGTATTTGGAGTGCTAGGTATCAGGTAGTTTAACAGATGTTGGCTGATTCCACTGAGAATTTGGGAGTGTTCATTACTTCAGCAAAACCAAGCCTGTCCTGACTAATGCAAAGATGACAAGATACTTATTGGGCATGGACTCATGTCCTCCTGACCCCATCTGTAACTCTCATGGCTACCGCAAACCTCAAGTCTGTGTTCTGTGTTGCTCATTTCCTACCCTGGGTTGGTCAAACGCATGGCATTGGATTGCTAAAGAAACTGTATGTCACGCACACATGCAACACTCTGGAAGTGTGTGAAAGGTTAAGCCCCATGGGGCAGCCCTTAACCAATGGATGATAGAAACTGATGGTTACATGCTTCTCCCTTTTATCTCTTGAAGGGACAATTCCAACAAGCATCCCATATGGTTCTTGGAAAGTCCCTATCAGTTGAACATCAGTCAGCCATAACAGGGCCACCTCCATAATCCATCCTTATATCAGCTCTCCCTCTCCCCCAGTCCACTCTCCATGATCCCTCACTCCTGCTTTCAGGGATCACCTCCTAAATAAACTATCTGTCCAGAAGCCCTTGTCTCAGGATCTGATTTGGTGGGGAATCCCAGCAAAGACACCTGTTAAGCCTCTTCTCTACCCCAATGATTGCACTATTTCCGGATTAGTATTGTTACAATGCTTCTGGAGACCAGCTCTGAGTTTCCATCCTTTCTGTGAGCAAAAGTTGTGAAAATTCATGCTCCACAAGGCAAGAGATCTTGTCCATTGTGTTTGTTGGCATAGCCACGGGTTCAGAACAGGGCTTGACACATAGGAGGCACTCAGTGACTGTGAAAGCAATGAACTCATCAATAGCTCTTCACTTCTGTTTATTTGCCAAAAATGGAGATTATGATATTGACCTACCAGGGTTGGCATGAAAATGAAATCAAAGTCATGAGAAGGGGGCAAATGAGTTAAATTTTCAGTTGTTATTCTATCTGTAATAAGAAGTGATAACAGGGTCTGGCTCGTAGGGTTGTTATGAGAATCAAATAATGCAAGGCACGTGAAGAGCATGTAGTAAATGTTCAGTAAGTGCTGGCTCTTCCTTCTTTCCTTCTTCTATCATCACCACCATCACCACCGTTATGAGAGCCCAGGGAAATTCTTGGATATTCAGCAGACCCAGGATAAACTGCCAGTTGACTCTGAATCTTATCAACAAAGAAATGGCCCCTTCCATCTTTCCCTCGAGAAAAACTGGGACTAATTGTCCAGGTGTATCCTGCACAGTTTTCCATATGAACTGTCAACATGTGCCCCAGTGACCCCAATATCTGGCCAGGTTCCTCACAGCCAGGACTGAGGATTAGGCTGTCGGTCCTCACCAGTCCTGACAGGTTGATTTTGGGATGTAGGTGGGCTAGATTGAATTCTGCGGGTAATGAAATTCCCCCTCTCCAACATCTCCATAAGCAGAGATGGGGCCAGAAGGGAGTTGGTCCTCCTGTGAGCAGTGAATCCTAAATGGTGCCCAGTGGAGAATATGATATAGCTGTGCTCAGCCCAGTAAATTCTAGGCTTTGGGAGCCAGACATTTACAACAAGATAATTTGAGAAGTGGGACATCACCAGGCAGGCTCCAAACCTTCCCTATGGGAGAGTTCAGCTAGCAAACTATCTTGCCCAGGGCTTGTCCAACAATCCCTTATTTATGGTAACATGCATTACAGGAAATTTTTATATAAGGCATTAAAGTGGAGGCAATTTAGGACATTTGATCATCTTACTTCTCCAACTTCCTAACCCCCCTCATGCATCCTCACTCCCATCATCCCCCTTCTTCAGTCTTTGAATTTCAGCTGAATGCGAAAGCTGATAATAGCTAAATTACATTGCAAACAGGTGCGGGCCTCTTCTGCCCTGGACAGCTGCCATGGTTATGTGATTCCTCAGCTGGGGGCATGTGGTTTGCCTGGCTTATGAGATTTGGGGTGGATGGTTGAGGGTACTTTTCTCCTCCACATCTCTCCACACCCAGCCCCCCTCTCCCAAGCCAAGCTGGGCCCTTGGGACATGTATATAGCTATCTCACCAGCCAGGCAGAATTTCCTTTGCTTTCTTTGTTCTGTGCTCCAATACGGTATCCATTTCACCCATCCTTTTAGAGAGGCATTGGTTACCTGGGCAGCTGGGCACCATACTCATAACAGTAATAACAATATCACCAAACAGCAACCATCACAAACACAGTCACTGCTACCATTTGTTGAGTGTTTGGTAAGGTTTTGGTCTATTCACATGCATCATCTCTGTAGGAATAGCTGTGGGGACCATCCCAGAGCTTGGCAGTTAAAATTCTGAATCTACCACTGAGTAGCTGGGGAACCTTGGGCTAATAACTAAAGCACTTTGAGCCTCAGTTTCATTATCTGTAAAATGGGGATGATGACTCACGTATAGGGTTGCAGGTATTTAGAATGTTACCTATTGTTTATTACTCTTAATATTCTTTATATATATATTTTATTATACTTTAAGTTCTAGGGCACACGTGCACAACATGCAGGTTTGTTACATAGGTATACATGTGCCATGTTGGTTTACTGCACCCATCAACTCGTCATTTACATTAGGTATTTCTCCTAACACTATCCCTCCCCAAGCCCTGCACCCCCCGACAAGCCCCAGTGTGTGATGTCCCCTGCCCTGTGTCCAGGTGTTCTCATAACACTAAGGGATCCTATCACAATGATCCCTATTTTACTGAGGCATAGAGAGGTTGGGTCACTTGCCCAAAGACAGAAGGCAGTGAGTGGATTTTCATTTTCATTGGTTGGTCTCGTATAAATCAAGGGTGTTTATTCACACATTCAACGAGTTTTTGAGCACCAACTATGTCTTAGGTGCTGTGCTAGGGTTGGTATGGAATGCCCCAGAGACAACAGACATGGGCAGGTATAAGATGCACATGAGAGCTTGAGGAACTGGGAATCAGAGGTGCCTGTGAGGATGTGGCTTCCAAGTCTGCAGAGAAATTCTTACCATGGCTTGCAAGCCCCTCACTGCATCATTCATTCAGCTCTCATCACTCTCCTCATCACTTACAGTCACAGATGCCTCCTTTCCATAGCTAAGACAGAAGCAAGCTCCCACCTCCAGGCCTTTGAACTTGCAGTTTCTTCTGTCTGCTGGAATTCCCTTCCCTCAGATAGTCTGTCTAGTGTTTCTCTATCTTCCTCCCTCCTTCTGGATTCCTTCTCAAATATAATTTTATCAGAGACCTTCACTGACCACCATATGTAAATTAGCAATGCAATTCTACCTCCATTATTCTCAAGCCTGCTGTGATCTTCTCTCCTCCTTTTCGTAACACCATAGCACTTGATATATTTCTGTGTTTTGTTCTGTTTTCTGTTTCCCAGCACTAGAATGTAAGCCCTATGAGAACACAGACTTTATCTCTTTTGTCCCTTGCCAAATTCCAATGTCTATAGGATTGTCTGGCATGTAAAAGGTACTCAATAGATAATTATTGAATGAAGGAACATAGGAAATTCATTGCTTGAAATTTAGATTTTTAAATAGACAAAGTTTCAACTACAGCAGAAAATAAACAGGTTAACTGGTTGGATTAGGATAAGCCCTTCCTGAGCATTCTCTATTCAGGAGAACAAAGGGGATTATCTCTCAATTAGGAATGCTTATGGCTACAAGTAGTGGTTTAAACCTAAAGGATGTTTATTGCTAACTGAAATAAGACCAGCAATGAACAGTCCGAGGCTGGTACAGCAGCTTAGCAATAGCATTAAAATCCTGGTCTCACTTTTTCTTATCCTGTTGACTCTCATTTCTCATGTTTTTCCTCTTACAGTCTTGAGATGGCTACCACAACTCCAGACATCACACCAGCATTCCAAACAAGAAACCTGAAGCTAGAGCACAAAGTTTACTTGAAAAGCTCTGCCTTCTTATCCTTCCCAAAAGGGTATAACACAGCTATCCCCAGTTGCAAGGGAGGCTATGAAAGACAGTCTCTGGAACACTAGAATAGGCTAGCAATGATTTGCCTAGAATAAGGATGATTTATCCCTTGGGACCGGGATTATTGTTGCCCCAAACAAAATTGTCATTTTAATAACAAGGGTGATGGGGCAATGGATATTCAACAGGCAAAGCAATACTTGCTATAGATGCATTTCCAAGAGTTTTTGAAAGGGTTCCAGTTTTATCTCCTCTATACCAGACTCCTAGGGCCTTTGTTAAAAAAAAAAAAAAAAAAAAAAAAAAATTGGCCAACCTTCCCTATACCGGCCTTGTCCCTTTTTACTAAAATAAAAACAAACACATAAACTAAACAAAACAAAAACAAACAAACAAAAACTGGCTAAAAGCAGAGGCTTGGAATTGAGACCAAACTACCTTTGAATCCCATTATGGGGAAAGTGACTTCACTCAAGTCCGGCCAGAATTGGAGGAGAGTGAATTTTACTACCAGGAAGTTCCAAGAACATTATGGCAAAATGCCCGTGAAGTATTGCATTTTGTGGTAAAAGTTATTTTGATATAGTCAATATGAAAAAAAACCCAGACTCCTGCCAATTAATTTACTTATATGCATGTGTCAAAACAAACCCTTTCCCAAACCCTTCAGTAAAACTGAACCTCTAGGAAAATTTATTCTATTTAACACACAGTTTTAATTAAATGTCTCCTGTCCTAACTCAAGGACTCCGGGGTAAGAAAATTCACACTGAATATCAGAGACTTACTCTGTCTCTGCTAACTCCTCTGAAAAATAGGGATAATAGAGCATATGTTACTGGGTTTGGTGGGGATGGATTAAAAGGGCCAATATGTGTAAAGTGCCAAGTGTAGACTCTGGGGAACAAAAAGTAAAAGATGCCCTTAGTGTTAGATAAACGATTGGGATAGTACCTCCTGCAAGACACAGTGCCAACCTCCACTCATTTTATGCCACTTTTTATACAGCTTAATGCTATGTTTAGCACAGAAGGTGCATTTCAGTAATACATGATTAAATTTATTTAGCAAATTTACCTGCTATGTGCTAGGAATCTAGAAATTTTAATAAGGCAAAATCTCTGACCTTAAGGAAATCATGTCCAGGTCAGTATCTCCCAAAGTGTGGTCCTGAACAAACACCTCAACAGCATCTGGGATTTTGTTAGAAATGCAAAGTCTTGTTCCCATTCCAGAACTATTCAATCAGAAATCTGTAGGGTGGAGCCCAGATCTATGTTTAATAAGCCCTGCATGGGGTTCTGACTCAGGCTTCAGTTTGAGAACATTGACCTAGTGGGAGAAAGGCAAACTGAAAGACACTTATGATTTATTGTGATGAGTGCTGTGGTGTAGGGAAATCCAGGGGCCATGGCAACACAGAGGGGAACAGTTAACTCAACTTGGGGGGTTCATAGAGTATTTGGGACAAGAGCTGAATCACAAAGCATAATAATAAAAAGACCCCTTTCCTGGAACCAGGAGGATGACTTAATGGTCTCCCAAGTGACTACTAACTTTAAGAGAGTTGTGATTGGTGGGAAAAATGGACATGAACATTTGGTCTACCCGATGTCAAGTCATCATTAGGATGTTCCATAGGGTCTTCCCTACTGGGGAGCAATAAACAAGTCCAGTTCAGAGGAGCGGTGCTTCAGTGCTATGTAGACCATCTGGAGCCTTGGGCTTTCCTGGGACTTCCTCTAAAGTGTCTGAGTTTCATTTAAGTTGGGATGGACCATGGCTTCTCTGAGAGTTCAAGGTTTGGGGGCACCTGCTGGGTGGTATCCCAAGACTGAATGAGAAGGTTGATGATGTCAGTAAAGAACAGCTTTGCTTGTAGGGAGAAAGAGACAAAAATAAGAATTTAGGCCAGAGCAAGTGAAAAGAAAAAAGGCTGATAGTTTTACATTTTGATTAGAACACAATAGTTTTATATTTTGATTAGAACACTTTCAGTAGGACAGCGGGCTGGTAAAGTGTGGATTCTTATTTGCAGGGCTTAGACACAGTCTCAAGGATCCCTGGAACAGCACAGCACTCTCTAGTGTCCAGTGAACTACAAATCCAGGAGGGGAAATAACATACCACATCGTTAAGCAAACAAGAAATAAGACCTTTGTCAATTAAGCTATGATGCAACAGTCATTGTAAGACACCTCCTGATTTTAGAAATAAAAGGATATTTAAAAGGGGCATGTATAAACAAACTACAGTAATTGAGCTCACTGGGAGCTAGATCAGGAAATTGTACCCCTTTGGGTACAGTTTCCCATCATCCATTAGGTGAGGGTATAATTGAATTGGAGGCTTTTAGAGCAGAAAGAAGTTAAAGCAGGATCTCTCAACCTCAGCTCCATTGGCATTTTAGACCAGATAATTCTTGGGGGCGGGGGGCTGTCCTGTGGACTGTAGGATGTTTAGGAGTATCTCTGGCCTCTACCCACTAGATGCCAGCAGCACAGCCCTCTCCCTAAGTTGTAACAACCAAAAATATCTCCCCAAATTGACAAATGTCCCCTTGGGAGCAAAATTTACCCCCTGGTGAAAACCACCTGATTAGAGGCCTCCTATGTCACTTCTTTCTAAATTCCCAGCTCCTCCATTGGTGATTTTATAGATGGAGAAACTGAGGCCCCAACAGTGGTAGTAAGTTACCCTGAATAACTTCCATGAACCCAACCAAACACCAAAGAGCTACTACCATTGGAAGTTTTCTTTATATAAATGCATTTATTTATTCATTCAGTCATTCATTTATGAAATATTTTTGTAAAGTACTGACTACATGTTGTGTATCATGCTAGGTACTGGGGAAATGATGATGGCTTAGTTTGAATTTCTCCAGAAATAGACCCTGAGAAAGGGGGTTTGAATATAAGTTGTTGTCTATGACCATATCACCCTGAACACACCCAATCATATCTGAATATAAATTGTTTATATGGGAAATGATAGAAACATGCATCAGGAAATGGAGAAGTGAAACCAGGAAAAAAAGATAAATAATCAAGGATGTATTATCAGGCCAGCTACCACCATGAACAAATAGAGCTTAATCCCACTGGGAAAATTCTGGGAACCAGTGTAGAACACATATGTCAGGGTTACCCCACCTAAAAGGTGAGGGAACTGTGTGTTTATACACCAATTCCCACCATCCACTGGGTAAGGGTATAAGCCTGCATACCCTACTATTCTAGCCTTCCCTGTGGGCAAACACTTTGGTACCAGACTGTCTTAGTCCATTTTGTATTGCTTAGAAGAGAATATCAAAAGCTGAATAATTTATACAGAAAATAAATTTATTTGGCTCACAGTTCTGGAGGATGGGAAGTTCAACATCAAGGTACTGGCATCTGATTAGGGCCTTCATGCTACATCATCCCATAGTGAAAGGTGGAGCAGCAAATAGGGTTGAAAGTGAGAGACAGAGAGGGCCAGAATCACTTCTGTAACAACTCACTGTTCTGATAATGAACCCACATTCATGATAACAACATTAATCCATTCACGAAGGTGGAATTTTCATAGCCCAATAGCCTCTTAATGATCCTACCTCTAAATACCATCACAGTGGCAATTAAATGTTAACATGGGTTCTAGAGGGGACATTGAAACCATAGCACAGAGTGAACCTTAAGATACCTAAACCTTAAACCGTGCTCACCCCCCACCCCCCCCGCAACACCCTACAAAAAATTCGGGATCTGGTTGTGTTGGAAGTAGGGCCAACCTGACTGGGATTGGCAGGGAATATAGTTCCTTTTCTCATGAAGCTCCTCATTTCTGGAGAAGGAGAGACATCAATCACTCCATTAAACATAAAACCATATAAATGGCAAGTGCTATGAAGAACAAGTGTATGGTACCATAAGCAACAAGATGTGTTAGTCCATTTTTGCATCCCTATAAAAAATACCTGAGGCTGGGTAATTTATAAAGGAAATAGGTTTAATTGGCTTATGGTTCTGCAGGCTGTACAGGAGGCATGGTGCCCATACATGCTCAGTTGCTGGTGAGGCTTCATGGAGCTTTTGCTCATGGTGGAAGATGGAGCAGGAACAAGCATGTCACATGGTGAGAGGAAGCAAGAAGGACATCCCAAACTCTTAAACAACCACATCTCATGTGAGGGGTCATAAGTGAGTTCTTGTTCAGTGAGTTCACATGAGATCTGGTTGTCCCATTCATTGCCTCCATGATCCAATCACCTCCCACTAGGCACCACCTCCAACACTGGGAACCACATTTCAACATGAGATTTGGAGGGGATGAACATCCATCCAAACTATATCATGAGAGAACCTCAATTACTCTGTGTCACCATAGAAGGCTGCCCTGAGGAAGTAACTCTTGAGCTGGAATTAGTAAGCCAAGGGGAGGAGGCAGAGGAACAGCATGTGCAAAGGCTCTGTGGCAGGAGGGAGCACTACACATTAGAGGAACTTAACAGAAGCCAACTGAGGAAGGAGGAGGACATGGGCTGGAAAGCAAAAATGAGAGTGGCTCTAGTTGTGGAGGTAGCTGGAGAGGTCTGCAGAGGCCAAAACTTGTAGGTTATGTTAGGCATCAAGAGCCATGGGGAGCTATTGAGGGTTTTGGGCAGGGAGGGGAGATGTTCAGATCTACACTTTGAGATCAATGCTGTGGATATTGTAAACAATGGATGGGTGTCAGTGGCAATAGAAGTAGAGAGACCGGCTCAGATGCTATTACCATATCCCAGATAAGAGATGATAAAGGCAACCAGCCAGTATTAAGAATATTTATTCGAAGCACTGTTCTAAGAGCTTTACCCAGAATAAGTCATGTCATTCTCACAAACAAAATTACAAGGTAAGTGCTCTTATTTCTACCCCTTGCAAGAAAGGAAAAGTTGAATCTCAAAGTCACCTAGGAAGCAGCAGGGCCAAGAAACACCTAGCCCCAGATCCTGAACCTTGAGCTCTGTACTATGCTGTCTCTCCAGCTAGGATTAGGAGGGTTGCAAAGGAGATGGAAGGTGAAGGAAATGCTTTGGAAATGAGTTTCATACAACACTTATTAGCTCATTCACTCATTCAACCCATGCTTGTGAAATGCCTACCTCATCATGCCTGGCATTGGTCAGAAACTTTGTTCACACTCTAATGCTTCTCAATCTTCCCCACAACCCCTTGTGGTAGGTCTGGCTGTTAACCTATTTTACAGATGAGAAAACTGAGGCTCATAGAGATGAAATCACCTGAGCCTAAACACTTAACTAGCAAGAGGATAGATTTGGAGGATGCAGATTCAGGTTGGTCTGATTCCAAAACTCATATTTTTTCTTTGCCCAACTCCATTGGCCCTTCTATCCCAAAACCCAGCCCAGCCTAGGAAGTAACAGACTAGAGGCTGAGGTAGGGGCCTGGAAGGTCTGGGAGGTACTGGGTGCTGATATAAGGCCTCTGACAGTTATGGTATAATATATGGTTTTAATTAAGGTCATAAGGAGTCAAATCTGAGAACTCGGGTATGAGTGGCCAGGTGCTTCTCCTCAGGGTGGGTCCTTTGGTTCTCAGCAGGTTTCCATGTCCTGTCCTGCATGACCAAAGGACAAATACCTGGCTAAGTTCTAGGATGTTCCAGAATCAGGAATCTAGAGACAGGATCCAGGTATGAAGCGTGGGTGGAGATGAACCATGCAAAACCAAGAGATGAGTCAGAGGAAGGGGAAACTGGCCAATAGCCTTCCTCTCCTTTCATTAAATATATTAATTTGGGGTGGCATATGAGTTTTCCAGTTGCAGAAGTGATTGGGCCCCCAGAGCTCTGGCACAACCCAGTTCTCAGGAACTGCTCTTGTATGTCTAGAGACCATCTGGGGTCTTGTTAAAGGAGCCCCAGGATAAGGAGCAGAGGCTGGACAAAAGTCTAACTCTGCCCCTCATCTTTTCTGGGTGACTTTTGCCTTGTTCTTTCCCCCTTTAATCCTTCCAGAGTTTTCCATGCCCTTATTTGGAAGGCTTATTGCCTCACCACTTGGGACACCCGATTGCTACTGTGTTGCCGACTCTTATCACAGCTGCTGTCCTGGGATTCCCTAACTCCTGATCCTGCTCCTATATCTGCCTACAATACCTCTTGGATTTGTGGGTGCAGGGCTGGTACCACAAAGGGGCTGGTCTAATGAGGGTGGCAGAAAGGAGAAGGAGGCTATTCTTTTTGAAAGTGAAATATAAAGCCCTCAGCCAGGGGCCCACCCTTGTATTTCCTAGGGGCATGAGAAGATTGACCAACTGCTCAGTTTCCATCTGGGGTCTATTTCAGACCTCAAGCTGCAGATGGCTTGGACAAGCAAGGGGAATTTAGGGGGAGTAGGAGACAGAAGCAAAGTGAAAGATCAAGTCAGATGCTGATGGGGTACAAAGAAACACCTAGAATTATTTGTAAAAAAAAATCAACACTTTAATAAAATACACAGCTAAATTTGAAAACCAGGGAAACCTCAGATTCAGGGACAGCTACATAATTTGCTGGGCCCAGTGAAAGCCAAAAATGTAAGACTTTTATTCAAAAGAGCAGGAAAAAAAAAGCTGTTAAAGGAGCTATAAGATAACATTTTTCCTTTCTTCCATGGTTTCTTTTTTGTCTCACCATGTTGTTTCTTATATGCTATATAATATGGTTCTAAGTAAAAAATTAAAACAAATTTAAGCCATGAGCATAAATTTCACCATTCTTCTTTATGAATTGTATGATGCCAATTTAAAATGCAAATATAAAAGCATTTAACTCATGTGGAATCCAAACTTGTATGATTTGTATTTAATAGCTCATGCATGTCTATGTATCTTGTCAGAAATTAGAAGAGTAGAAATGCTGCACAAAAATAACTCAACTGCTTCTATTTTTCTTCTTGATATACACACATTCTGTCAACCCTCTCTACTATCAGCTTACTGATGAGAAAAGGGCAGAGAGAAAAAAGGAACTATGGGTTGCTCTATGCTCCCTTCCTTCTGTATCTTTTCAGCATAAGTGGTTGGATAATAGGTGGAAATAGCATGAATAGCAAAGGTTATTATAGAATCCCTTGGTTGTCTGTGTTTCTTGGAATGTCATTGCCGTCTTTGATTTTTAGAGATTGCATCTCACTCTGTCACCCAGGCTGGAGTGCAGTGGCATGATCCCAGCTCACTGCAGCTTAGAACTCCTGAGCTCAAGTGAGCCTCCTGCTTCAGTCTCCCAAGTAGCTGGTATTACAGGCATGCACCACCATGCCTGGCTAATTAAAAAAAAAAAAATTGTACAGATGGGGGATGGGGTCTAGCTATCCCATCCCATGGGATGCCCAGGCTGGTCCCAAACTCCTGGCCTCAAATGCTCCTCCTGCTTTAGCCTCCCAAAGTGCTGGGATTAAACACATGAGCCATTGTACTCAGCCTTGCCACTGCCTTCTTCCTGCATTTTTGCAACTTCTGATTCCAGTGGAAAGTATGACCTTTTGGGGCTGCCAGTGCCTCTCTTTACCCAATCATAGACATAATATACTTACCTTGTACCTCAGTCTTGCTGAACTCCCATGCTTTGTGGGTCCGCAGAACTCTGATTTCATGGGGCATCACAAGCACTACATGGAAATGTAGCATAAGGAATGGCAGGCACACACAGTGCATACATCTCCTCTGCTCATGCACATACCCCATTATCCCCTTAGACTTCACTTTGAAAAGACAAGTTCAAAGACAAAATTATTCAGAATATCAGGAGAGTGATAGGAGAGCAATAAACTAAACATGGGGGTCATCTCATGAAGCTGGCCCTTCCCAGATATCAGAAATGATGACAGAGCTCAAAGCCACAGCAGTAGTCATGATAGCTGATGCCACCGTGCCCCAAGGGAGATGCTGGGCTCTGATATAGGCCAGAATGCCCTGAATCTGGGGTTTTAATGGCAACGTGAGGACAGAAGACCCCCATGTTTGGCTTAATGCTCTCCTGTCACTCTCTTGATATTCTGAATAATTTTATCTTTGAATTTGTCTTTTGAATGTGAAGTCTAAGGGGATCATGGGCTACATGCATGAGCAGAGGAGATATACGCACTGTGTATGTGCAATGGAACATTAAAAGATAAAGAGCTAGAAGTGAGATGACTTGCTAGAAGCTGAGGTCTTCAAAGGAGCTTCTTTTCCATGACAAGTAGGCCTACCAGGAAAGCAGCAAGAAAGCTTGTTTTCTGCCTGGGACTCTATTTGCAATAAAAAAGAAATCCTGGGAGAAATCAAAACCTTTAACGTACACCATATGTAGGAATGGAATCCCAATTCAAATTTTCATAATCATATCGTGTACACTTTCTGTAAGCCTAGGTGAGTGCACACAGAGGGAAAAAAAAATTCCAATTGAAGATGAGAACACACGCATACACAACTTCAATCCACACAAGAAATGAGCTACTATAAAATTAAGTTAGCAGATGAAACAAAAGGAAAGACTAACATACCAATAACTTGATATCATACAACATGAAACATTAAAAATTATATTTAAATTATTAAAAAATAAAAGAAGGAATAGAAACCACAATAAAATAACAAAAAGAATAGATTGGATAAAGAATAACATAAAACATAGAGTTGTATAAAATATACTCGTTAATTTTAAAAATTCAGTGAATAGGCAACAGTGCAGATTACACACAGCTAAAGAGAAAATGCATAAACTGGAAAAAGAGAACCAAGAAATTAACCCAGAATACACCACACAGAGAGAAGCACATTGAAAATATAACTGAGAGGTTGAGAGTTATGAAGAGTAGAATAGGAAAACTCAATAGATGATAGAAAGAATGTCCAGAAAGACAAAAAGAATTTGAAAGAGAAAATAATCAAATACATGAGTGTTAAAACTTTCCAGAACTGAAGAATGCTAGGAATCTTCATAAACTGAATTTTATAATAGTAATCACATGCTTAAGCACATAATGAAAACTGCACAGAGAGGATATCTTTAAAGCAATCAATGAGAAAAGACAGACTACCTACAATGAGTATTCTCTCTTTTTTCCAAGCCTTGAGGTGTTAATACAAATTGAATTGCAAATTAAACAATAAAAATTCTACTGGTAGCAGGCTTCTCAATAGCAACAATAAGTACCAGAACATAATATAAATATTTCTTCAAAGTGTTGAGGAAAAAATAGTTGCCATTTTAAAGTTATAAGTCCAGTTGAGTATATCAGTTGTGAAGGTAAGATAAATACATTTCCAAATAAAAACTGATGAAGTTGGCTGGGCACGGTGGCTCACGCCTGTAATCCCAGCACTTTGGGAGGCCCAGGCGGGCGGATCATGAGGTCAGGAAATTGAGACCATCCTGGCTAACACGGTGAAACCCCGTCTCTACTAAAAATGCAAAAAAAATAGCTGGGTGTGGTGGCGGGCGCCTGTAGTCCCAGCTACTGGGGAGGCTGAGGCAGGAGAATGCAGTGAACCCAGGAGGCGGAGCTTGCAGTGAGCCAAGAGCGCGCCACTGCACTCCAGCCTGGGCAACAGAGTGAGACTCCGTCTCAAAAATAACAAAAAAACAAAACAAAACAAAACAAAACAAAACAAAAAAACTGATGAAGTTTATCACTCAAATAGATCACCTTAAGGTATTACTAAAGCATATTCTTGAAAGAAAAGGAAGGAGTGATATACAAGAAACAATAGTGAACAAAACTTTGGTAAATATATGGGTAAATCAAAATAATTATTTGATTTTCAAAACAGAAATAAGACCGGCTGATGGGGGTTAAAATAAACACAACTAAAATATAAGACAATTACACAGAGGATGGGAATGGAGGAAAAAAACAGGATTAGAGTGTGTGAAGTTTCTCTTATGGTTTGGAAGAAAGATAGAAATATTGATACCTTTAGACTGTCAGTCAAATGTGGGTGTTCAAAATTTAAGGGATGACTACTGAGATGGTGAGATAATTTTTAACTTCCAAACAGTGGTGGAGTTTAAATAAACAAAATGTGGTTGATTTACTAAAAGGCAGAAGAGAAACAGAAAAAAGAAGAGAGAAACAATTCAGTTTAAACAAACTCAACATAGAAATGCTGGCAATAAATCTAAACAGTAGTCATATCAAATGTAAAGATTAAAATATCATATCAATTGACATATCAAATTATACTCTCCAGTTAAAAAAACAAGGATTATCCAATTACATATTATGGGAGATTCTATTTTCCAAATACAGCCTCAACAATGTATCTTAGTCTACATGCTATTTTACAATGTGACTCTGATTCTTCTCATCAAGAACTGGGGGCCTAGGTCCCCACTCCTTGAGTCCAGGTAGGCTTATGACTACAGCAGAAGTAATGCTGTATGACTCCCAAGGCAAGGACATAAAATAGCCAATGGGGACTTCAGGCTTACATGGCATGTTGACATGAGAATAAGTCATCATGATAATTTATTTATGCATAATATAGTAGACACTCTTGGTGTCTGGTGTAGAATCCTTTACTGGGCTGGTGCACCCATTTCCCAACTTGCTGGGAATGTTGGCTGCTAACAGCTCACAACTGTTCTTTTCCCTAAAAAATTGTGTTCTTGATGCTGTGGGGAGGCAGTTTCCAACGACTGACTAATGCCAGGTATGAAAGGCCAGGGCCCTTACCTAGAGGGGTTAGGGGAACAGTGTTCCTGAGCTCCCCACAAGATCAGATGTATTAGTTAGTTCTTGCATTGCTATAAAAAAACTACCTGAGACTGGGTAGTTTATAAAGAAAAGAGGTTTAATTGACTCACAGTTCTGCAGACTGTAGAGGAAGCATGGCTGGGAAGGCCTCAGGAAACTTACAATCATGGCAGAAGGCGAAGAGGAAGGAGTCACGCCTTCCATGGCTGGAGGGGGAGGAAGAGAAAGCAGGGGGAGGTGCTACACACTTTTAAACAACCAGATCTTGTGAGAACTCACTATCAGGAGAATAGCAAGAGGGACATCCACCCCCATGATCCAATCACCTTCCGCTAGGCCCCTTTTCCAACACTGGGGATCACAGTTGACAGGAGATTTGGGTGGGGACACAAATCCAGTCCATATCAGGCTAAGACTAGACTTCAGCTGAACCACAACTCCCCTTGGCCTCCGAATTTGCCCTGATCTGCTTCCCTCTTTCTTACTGGATTTTCTCTAGCAAGCTGTCCCTCAGTAACCCCCTTGAAGTTATCCTGAGACTTCCGTCTCAGACTCCACCTCTAAGAAACCCAATGGAAGACATACTACATGTGCCATTATTTAGAATGTTGATATGGTTAATAAATATGGTATTCCTCATTCAATAAGGCTTACTTTGAATGCATTATCATTTCAGGTGCATTGGACCACTGGCTCCTGTGGGCTGTGTGGGCAAGTGCAGTTTATATACCACTACCAGGCTCAGAATTTTAAGCTGCCTGGCTCCAAATGCATCCCAGGACAGTCTTTAATGTTCATAAGGTCAGCGATGGCTGGACAGAGAGAGTAGCTCTTTGGACAATTGGATTCCAAGTGCCTTCAGAGGCAAGAGGGCAAACTTGTTTTGACATTTCCTGGGGCAGATCAAAGGGTTTATTAGTGACCATCAGTTAGGTTATGCTCCTGGCCAAATCTTTTCCAATTAGAGAAAATGAAATCTCTGCTCACTGGTGAACCAAAACAGAACTAGGGTCCTTAATGATTCCCTTGAAAAGGCTGCAGTGAATCACTTAAATTGGTATAAACTTCCCAGATGTTGTGATCGACCCTATTATATAGCAAGAGCCGTAAAATTGTCATATATTTGACTGAGAAATTTGCACAGTGTGTGAAAGATATTCATGACTGCATTATTTATAAAGTTACAAACTAAAAACAACTAATGTCTAATGCAAGGGACTGGCTAAGAAGTCATGGAAACTTCGTAAGATGAAGATAAAACCATCACTTAAAAATATATTTTAGAAGAATAGGCTGGGCGCGGTGGCTCACGCCTGTAATCCAAGCACTTTGGGAGGCTGAGTTGCAATAGTATAGTTGTGATTCAAGAGAAGCATAGTGCTCGCAGCTCTCCAAGCCAGGGCAAAATCGCTCCCACAGAAAGAGTGACCTCTTGCTTCCCAGAATCTCAGCAGAAAAAGTATAGAGTCAGCAATGCCTTTCTTTCTGTCTTGAGCCATGAGGACAAGGGGCTACAGGTCCCGGGTATGTGTATCCCTCTGCACTGAGGGCAGAAGCCTCAGGATGGCCCGGCTGACAGCAAACAGGTGGCTGGCTTTGGCTCAAATCAGGAGGAAACACGAGTCCCCAATGTGGGCGGACATTCACTTCTCTGATCCCTCAAATGTGAGGAAATGAATGAATCTCCCTGCAGGGGAGGCTAATGTTTTCCTGGCGCCTTTTAACTGGATCTTAGCATCAGGATCATATTAAATTATAGTTTCTGCATTTAAGAGAGACACAGCCTTATTGCCTCGTCCTCTCCTCACTTTTGCTTACTTAAATGTATGACTGTAACAAACACTTGATGCTTCTGAGGATACCAGCAGAATCTCTTCGGAAATAATTTTTTTAAATCACTTTTTAATTTGGAGGTAACTTTAGGCTTATAAAAAAAGTTGCAAATATAAAAGTTGCAAAACATTGCAAAGAAGGGTTTCCTCACCCAGTTTCAGTCTCCCCTTAATGTTCTCACCTTATGTACGATGATAATCTTACACCTTACATCTGTCAAATCTAAGAATCCCCCATTCATACATTACTGTTAACTCCAGACTTGATTCAGCTTTTAGTCTTTTTGTTTTTCCTCATCAATGCTCGTTTTTCCATTCCAGGATCCAATCCAGGTTTCCACATTGCACTTAGTCATCCTGTGACGATTTCTGCATCTTTCCTTGTAGTTTCATGACCTTAAGAGTTTTAAAGAGCACTGGTCAGGTGTTTTGTAGAATGTGCTTCCACAGGGGTTTCTCTGATGGCTTTCTCATGATGAGACTGGGGTGGTGGGTTTTTGAGAAGAACACAGAGGTGACATGCCCTTATCATCATATCATATTTGGGGTGCCTGACCTGGAAAGATTTTGAGCTGTTACCAAGCAGAACATTTTCCCAGCCTCACTGTCAGACAGTCCCGGGTCCAAATCCCAATCCCAAATAAATGCTAATTGTAAGATAGTTAGCACTCATGTGGTAGTTTCTGTGTGCTGAACATCATGAAAAATGCTTTCCCTGGTTTATTTCACTTAAAACTGGAGATCCTCCAAGGCAGGTGCACTTATTGGCCCCATATTGTACATGAGAAAACTGAGGCTCAGAAAGGTCTGGTAACATGTCTAGAGTCACACAGCAGATAGGTAGTGAGGCTGACCTTTAAACCCTAGGAAGTGTGACTTCCAGATCCACCACACCGCACTGCCTTCTGATTATTTGTATGTGAGGTGCTTTGCTCAGTGCTGGCACAAAAAAACTTAAAAAATAGTGGTGACAACATCATTTCTGAACCTGATATTTACTGCATTATCTTAGGCAAGTGATTTATTTTCCGAGACAAATGCTAAGAGCCTTGCCTGACTCTGGGCTGCATATCTATCAGCTCATCCCCTCGTCTCGGCAACTCTCCATCCTCCCCTGTCCCATGGCTTGAGTTAGCCCATAGGGAGCCTCACAGGAGGGTGGAAGGAGGGAAGAAAAGGAGATCAGGGTGTTGATGGCCTGGCTTCTTCCTCCTCTGGCTGGCCGCACACTGTGAGCAAAGGGCTCCGCTCCTGGGGCAGCCTTTCCTGCAATGCTCTCCCTCCCTTCCCCCTTTCAGCCTAGGGGTGTGTGTGTGTATTCACCTCCTGTTGCTGCTGAAACAAATGACCACAAAACAGAGTGGTCATTTATTCTCTGACAGTTCTGGAGATCAGGGATCCAAAATCAGTTTCACTGGTTTAAAGTCAACATATCAACCAGGCTGTTTTCCCTTCTGGAAATTCTAGGGAAGAATCCAATTCCTTGTTCTTTCCAGCTTCTAGAGGCCACCTGCCTCCCTCACCTCATGGCCCCTTCCTCCATCTTCAAAGTGCTTCACCTCTGCTTCCAGGCACATTTTCTCTCTGACTTTGGCCTTCCTGCCCCTTACAAGGGCCCTTGTGGTTATATTGGTCCTGCTGGAGAATACCCCCATCTCACAATCCTTAACTTCATCATATGTGCAAAGTCTGTTTCATCATGGGAGGTGACATGTTCACAGTTCTGGGGATTAGGACACAGGCATTGGTGGGGGGTGGGGCATTATTCTGCAATAGAGGTTCTGTCCTATCTGTTATTTCCCCTGGGATACTGCACCAAACCCTGCCTGTGACTTCGTAAGTTGTCCTTTTATTAAACTTGCCCCTTATTAACCACCATGAATGAATCATCTGTCTGTTGCAAGACTGGTACTCTCAGTTTCCACTTCCCTACATTTAATCTTAGCCAAAAGGCTGAGAAGCAATGTTTCCATCTTCCCAGAAGGGATTCGATACCACTCACCTCGTAGGGTTGTTGGATGGCTTGCAGTGAAAAAGTCAAGGGCCTGGCACCCTGTGAATGCTCAGTACATGCCCACTGTCTGCCTGTAAATGGCCCTAGGAGGCCTTGACCTATCTCCCCTTCCCTGCCCTGAACAGGCTTTATTTATGAGGTCAGTGATTCCACCCAGGACCCCATGCTATGAGTGCAGACAGCACAAAATGGTTGAAGGCAGGAGGTAGGCTGGCACCGCTGGTTTAGGTCTTCCCCCCTGTGCATGGGGAACCCATGTGAGGGCGAAATCAGCTTCAAGTGGTAGGAGCTGTTGGGGGTATGGGTGTAGTGGTAAGTGGGGAACAGGGAAGCCTTGTCTACTTGGGCATAGATACACATGGTCAAGGCAGCTCCTGGGCTCAGTCCATCCCCTTCATGCAACCTCCTCTCAATCATCTCGCCTGCTCACACCGGCTAGGACACACTCATACCCATTGAACTACATGATTTTCTAATTATTGCTCTATGGGGATGGATCTCATCTCTCTCCAAGGGCCCCAAGCAACCCAAGGCAACAGACACTTAGTAAAATGGATTGAAAGCAGTGATATATTTGGTTGAAATGATGTGTTCTTCACCAAATGGTTCTGGAAGTAGGTCCAAATATTTAAACTCCCCAATGCAATCTTATCCTAAAAAGTGCCTAGTTCAGTGAATATATATGTATTTAAATAGATGGCCAACTTAACCGCGTGGTGCTGTGTCAGCAAGAAATAAAAGTTGATTCTTCCACCACTCGTTTCTATCTTGCAGGAAAACTGTCTGAAGTGGAATCATAGTAACCACAGCTGGGAAGGTCCTTAGAGATCATGAACTCGGCCAGCTGTGGTGGCTCATGCCTGTAATCCCAGCACTTTGGAAGGCTGAGGTGTGTGGATCACCTGAGGTCAGGGGTCGGAGACCAGCCTGGCCAACATGGAGAAACTCCGTCTCTACTAAGAAAACAAAAAAATTAGCTGGGCATGGTGGCAGATGCCTGTAATCCCAGCTATTCAGGAGGCGGAGGCAGGAGAATTGCTTGAACCCGGGAAGCAGAGTTTGCAGTGAGCCAAGATTGCGCCTCTGCACTCCAGCCTAGGCAACAAGAGTGAAACTCCATCTCAAAAAAACAAAAACGAAAGAAATCACAAACCCCACCCCCATTTTAGAGATGGGTCGGGAGTCGTCTACTACCATACAGCTCTAACCTACTCCACTGCACCCCTGGGAAGGCACTTCATGGCAGGGATTATGTAATCCCTTGTTTGTTCATTGGTTTACTTAATCATCTGTCTCCTGCTCTGTGACAGCAGAGCTTGGTCTGCTTTGTGCACTCTGTATTCCTGGCATACAGTAGGTGCTCAATAAATAGTTGTTGGAGGGGAAAAGTCCTGCACAGTTATAGAATCACAGAATCAAAAAGGAATTTAGAGTATCACATCATGCAACACTTTTTCTGGTGCCTGAATTATCAGTCTTTATTTGGGTACTTGTGACCTGGGTACTCCCTGCAGCAGACATTTCTAGTTTATGGCATCCCATTTCCCCTTTTTTTTTTCTTACCAACAGAACCCCAGTTTTTTAAAGGGCAGCAGTGCTGGCAATGTGTTAAGTGAAACATGCTTATTTTTCCCAGGCTCCATGTGGTAACCAGAACCTAGTGGGTGGTGCAGCTAAGGAAGAAAACTGTGCAACGGGAGCTGTAGTCATACGGTAAAGTAGCCACAGCTACAGAAGTCAAGAGGGGCCTTGAAGAGGGAGAAATACCCCATCCTCTCTCTCCTCCCGCCCTCTGATCTTCTGGGGTGCCTCCCATTGGTCGAGCTGGTCTGGAAGCCGGAGAGCAAGAGAGCCCCAGTGGATCTAGATGCAGTTTTCTATACGTATAGCTCCTGGGCACAGAGCAGTGTGGATGTGGGTGGAGAATGCCTCGGAGGGGCAGAGAGAATATTCAGCTCAGCCAAGTTGGCAGGGCTCCCCTGAATCCCCTTGCACAAGAATGAATCCCATTGGAATCTCCCATCCCCTCAGGACAAAGAATTCTCCAATGCCTCTTGGGCATTTGATACCTCTACTCCCTACCTGTTGGGACTCAGGTCTAGTAAAGCCAAACATCACTCTTTAGAGCTTTCCAGGGCTTTCTGCAGTTTGCAACCCCATCTCTCTCTCTCCCTCTCTCTCCACATCCCATAGTCCAAACTCCAGCCACTCTCATTTCAAAGCCTGATCCCTTTACTTCCTCCCTTACTGCTATGGGCCAGAAGCCAAGGCCATTTAAAAGCTGAAGATTCCTGGCCCTCATTTATGCCTGGCAAGAGGGAGGTGTCTATAACAAGAAAAAGCCACATGGCCTCTGAGTAGACAAGCCATCCCAACCTGTCTTTGGGGCAATCCAAGAGATGCGACCTCCCTGCTTGACAGCAGAGTTGGGGTCACAATGTGGCGTCTGCCTGTGAAACTGCCATCAGTTCAGCCAGGCAACTTGGAATAACAAAGAACATGGGCTTTGGAACAAGATAGACCTAGGTTCTAATCCTAGCTTTTCCACATAGCTGTGACCTCCAGTAAGTGGCTTAACCGCTGTAAGTTTCATTATGAATCATAGAATAAATACTAAGTGCTTACTCTGTGCTACGGAGTATAAACACAGCAGAAAATCAGAGACAGGTCTCTGTTGTCCCAGAGAGCTTCCATATTGGTGGAAGAGAAGACAGACAATGAATCTACTAATAAGGTAATTTCAAGAGTGATAACTGCTATATGGAAAATAAAATAAGGACATGTTATAGGCAGAAAATGGAAAGGAGGGACCCACGTTAGGTAGTCAGTAAAGGTGTCACTGAGAAGGTGACATTTAAATAGAGGCCTGAATAATAAAAAGAGCCAGTCATGCAAGGATGCAAAGACAGTAGACATTATAACAGAGAAATTAGCAAGTGCAAAGGCCCTGAGACGGGAACAGAATGAAGGGTGATGTGGCCAGAGCTCTGTAAGGGGGAGAGCAATGGCCCTGTTAGGTAGGGCTTAGGTCATGGCAAAGACTTAGATTTATTGTAAGTGCAACGGGAAGCCACTGGAAAGTTTCCATCCAGGGAGAGATGTGATCTGATTTGTCTTAAGAGGATAACACTTTATCCGATGTGCTAGACTATAGGGGAGCAGAGAGACTGGTTGGGAAGCTGTTTCAATCCACCAGTGAGAGATGGGTCTCATCTGAAGGCCAATTTCTAGCCAATGGAATGTGAGTGCAAATCACTGGACAAGGCTTTTAAGAAGAAAGTACAGCTTTTCACCTCCTTTAGTCCTCTTCTGCCTGGTCTTTCAATTAAATAAAGAGACAAAATTTTCATCCCTGCAAGGTCCAAGAAAAAGAAAAAATAACCTCCCCACAAAGTAAATAAATAAATAAAAGGAAAGCAAAGCAACAAAACAGAAAGACCCTGGGTCCCTGAGTCACTATGTGGAGTAGGAGTCACTATGTGGAGTAGTAGTCACTGTCACCTAGGAACACCCACCTTGGGTGATTCCATGAGTAAGAAGAGAGATAAACGAAAAACTCAGGAATCATCAGGCAGTTTGCCTTAGAGGATGAGTAGGATCTGGATTGGTAGACATCTCTGGGAAGGCAGTAAGGCTTACAATCTTTGAGTTCAGAAGGCACTAGATTCAACCCCTACCCCTGTGTCTTCTCATTTGTGTGACTTTGGGCAAGTGACTTCACCTCTCTGAGCTTCTTAGAAGGATAATCTTACAGGGCTGCTCACAGCATTAAAAAAGATGATACACACAATGTGTTTGGGACCAAATACAGACAGAATATTTAATGAATGGTCACTGTTGCCACTATTAATGTCAATGAAAAATGTTCAAGAATGGGGAAGAGGGATTGTGAAAGAAGATACTCATGGTCCCCTGTCTGCCCTAGTGGCATCAGGTCCCCAGACTGGTGCCCAGAGACTATCTCACAACAGTTAAAACACCTAACAGGGAGATATTAAAACTAGTGATTCACGCCTGGACTATTATAAGAGCCTCTTAATTATCCTCTCTCCTCTTTAATCCATCTTCACACCTCTGCCAGACTCATCATCCTAAAATGGTGTGTATCCTGGATTATTCCCTGACGACAACCCTTCAGTGCCCCACCTGCTTAACACGGGGAAATCCAGATGTCCTAGCTTAATATCCACGTTGCATTCTGTGGACATAGAAGACTTCCCCGTGCATTGGAATCACTAGGATACTTGTTGAAAAATGCAGATTCTGGGGCCCCAATTCAAATCTACCAAATAGAACATGTGGGAAGGCCTGGGGATCTGCATTTTAATAAGTACCTGGGTGATGCTGATGACATTAATGTCTCAGCACCACTGCTTTATAACTGCCTATAGTTTAGCTCCACCTTAACCCTTCTGCACTTATTGCCCCACTATCCCCAACACAAACCCCATATCTGAACCACAAAGGTCTACTTGCTTTCCCGCAAAACACAATATGGCTTCACGATCAAGTCACCCAAGACATTTATTGAGCCCGTATGATGTGCCAGTTGCTGGACTCATCTCTGCATTTGATTTTCTAATTACGTTCTATCTGGGTGGGAGGCACTATTATTGTCCCATTTTATAGATAAGCAGACCAAGGCCCAGAGGGACTAAACAATGTGCCTAACCACAGCTAGAAGGTGATAGAGCTGGGATTTGACCCCAGAGTTAGAGAGGTTGACTCCTACCTGACACTGTCCTCATCTGACCCCCAGCCCTGTCCTCTGGCCTTTTCAGCCCCACAAGTTCCTCTTCTTTCTCCTCTCCCCTTGGAAACATTCCTAGATCACACGAGGATGGGGTTCTGAAGGGCCAGGGGTGACTGATGCTTTAGATAATGCTGAGACTCATGGAGGAAGAGGAAATCAGGAAAGCTTGGGAAAGCTAAGTGCTGAGGGTTTGCAGTGAGGAAAAAGGGGAGCCTTTCTCGAAGTAGGGTTGGTGAACCAGCATCTGGGAAGCAAAGGTCCCAGCTCTCCACATTAAAGGGATAAGGTGGGTTCTGGAGTCAGACTGTGTGACTTCAAATTCCAACTTAGTCTTGGAACTAACATTTACTGAACACTTATTATGTGCTCAATAACTTGGGACAAATGACTCAACATTCTGAGCATCTGTTTTCCCCTCCCTAAAATGGAAATATATTCATTCAGCCAGGAGTAAGTGAGTTCTTCTTATGCGGGCTTCCTGTTCTGGAGATGGAGATGACAGTGGTAGTAGTTATATCATAAAATTTGGGAGAATGTTCAATGAGATAACACAGAGAAAGAACCTGACCTTTAAAAGCTTTCAATTAATGCTATTTATTAGGATTATTTATTTTGATATTTTGCTTCCATTTGGAAAAATCTTACCATCACATTACAGGGTAAGGTCACCGGGTGTAAGTCCTCCCAGCTGTATGTTACCTACTAATTCAAGGCCTACTGCCTGCTTTTGCAAATAAAGTTTAATTGGAACACAGCTGGGGAATTTGTTTACATAGCATCTATGGCTGCATTCACACAGCAGCAGAGTTGAAAAGTTGCAAGAGAGACTATATAGGCTGCCAAGCCTGAAATATTTACTACCTGGTCCTTTGTGGAAAAAAGATTGCTGGCCCCTGGTCTAATTCATTGAGGATGCAAGAAGAGGGTTATTTATGCTCTCTCTCCTTATTGCTGCATTTGGTTTTTTACTTTTCTTCCATTATTTTCAAATATCATGGATAGCAATGATATTTCCATACAGGGATAATTTCAAGGTCTTTTCTACAGGGGTGGTTGCTGTGCAGCGTGAATTCTATATGGATGAAATTTCCCCCAAGTGAATATCAGAGGATTGAAGAGCTTATTGTAGGGAGAAAGAGCATCAGAGGTTAATTCCTATAAAATGAGAAATCTGTATGCAACAGATTCTTTGAATTTTTTATGTTGTTCTGATTATTACATGATGAAAAACCCAGCCCCATTCTCTTATTAAACATGGAACTAAACAGATTTTCTTTGAGTGTATTATAAAGAAATAAATTTTTTTTCTATTATCCTAACAACTGGAAATTTTTAAATTGCCATAATTTGGATTTATACTTTAGTAGGGTGGTTAAAATTAGGTTTTGGAGTCAGAGGGCTCCAAGTTCAAATCCTGCCTCTGCCTCTCACTGGCCGTGAGACCTTAGTCAAGTGATGTTAACTTGTCTGGGCCTTAGTTACCTACCAAGTGGGGGTGAAAACATCCACCTCATGAAGTTATTGTGACAATTAAATGGAGAAATGTACATGGAACACACCCCAGTGCCCGAGTCTTGGTAAGAACTCAGGAATGTGTGCTGCTATTTATTGATATTATTATCGTAATTCAAGGCAAAAATCAGGTATTCTGAGAAATACCATCCAGCCTCCTGTTGTTGGTTGATGTAGTCCCACATAGCAAACAGACCCAGCCAGGCTAGAGGTGCTGGCCCTCTCTCAATGAGCTGTTTGCGGCTATATCCTCATCGCAGGCTCTGTTTTACTTAACCTGCTGCATCTAGTGCCGGGCACAGAGAAAACCTTCAGTAAGGCTTGTTGATCTGATCAGACTGATGAGAGCTCCCATTCATCCTGAGCCCCAGCTGGGGCTCTGAGGTCATTCAGATGAACAAGACAGAGGCTGGAAACATCTTCCCATCCCTGGCTTCCCCCCTCCCGCTCATGCAGAAGGTCCTGAGCCTCCAGAGCATTTGTAAATGAATGCTCCCTGCTGAGCCTCAGGCTACATTACACCCGCTCCCTCCTGTCCTCGACTCCGCATACCTCCTGCTCGGGGAACATCTGCCTCTCATCCCCCAGGAGCTCGTTTCTAGCCCCAGAGTCAGAATCTGCATGGTTTTTTTTTTTTTTTTTGCCTGGAAATATCGATTCCAGGCCGAGATTGAACCACCACTCTCTCCCAGTCTCCTCCCTCTGTCATCTCCCTCATCACAGTGCACTGAGCACTTTCTAGGAGGTTCTGACGCAGACATTTAATTTGAACAGGAACTGGGGCCCAGGGTGGTGGAGAGTGTGTACGGGGCAAAGAGATGATGGAAGAAAATAAATTCTCCTTCACATAACAATTAGAGGAAGACAGTCCCAAACAATGACCAGACCATCCCCGCGGGCAATGATGACAGCCATTTCGAACTTATCACACCACGGCACTATATTAAGGCCCTGAGATTACAGTGTGGTTCATTAGAGGAACATCTGTTGGAAATCAGCACGGAACAACCAGATATGATTGCTAAAAAAGCTGCCTAGGGCGAGGAGGGGTGAGACCACTTCTCTGCAGGGGAAAATGTCCAAGATACACCTTTCCTGATGTTTTTGGCTCTTGTGTGCCTCACTTTCCCCCTCTGCCATGAAACCAAGGATCTTAATTTAAGCAAGGTCAGCAGCATATATTAGGAAGTGGGATGCATTTTCAAGACCCAGGAGCCAATAGAAGTATTGGTAACAGCAATAGCTACCACCAATGATACTTACTATGTGCTAAATGCCGTAGTAAGTACTCAATGCGTATTATCTCATTTAATCCTCACAATAACCCTATGAGGTAGATAATATTGTTATCCCCATGTACAGGTGACACAACTGAGGCTGAGAGAAGTTGAGGGACTTGCACAAGATTGTGCATCCCTTGACTAATGGCTAGGGTGATCAACTGTTTGATTTTACCCAGACTGAAGGTTTTCCTGGGATGCAAGACTTTGGGGCTAAACTTGGGATGGTCCTGAACAAAGTGGAATGGAGCTCCAGTTTGAATCCACATCTCTTGTGTCAAAGCTTATCTTGTAATCCATTCTGTTACACTGTTTCCTTCATTCTGCTCATTTGTTCAGTCATGCATTCATTTACATTTACTAAGACAATGTATTTACTGAGCACCTACTATGTGTCAGGCACTGTTCTGGGCGCCAGAGACACAGCTGTGAAAGAAACAGACAAAAATCCTCAAATCCTTGCCTCCAGAAAGCTGATGTTGTAGCAGCTCCCTTCTTATAATCATTGTGTATCCAGCTAGACTTTCTATTTCCCTAAGACCGGTTACATTTCCTTATTATTAACAATCAGAGCAATCAAACGCTCACTCTTGATGGTTTTCTGCCCTGCATGCTTCTAAGGATCCAAAGCAACCCTCAAGAAGGGTGCATACACAGGAGGCTCATCAAGCATATCACACTGCCTCTTCAGTCTAGAAATAGGATGTCCAAAGAGGCATTGTGATCAAAGTACACACAATCGGGAGAGTTATAAATAGTGGAAACTTGTACTTCAGCAAATTCCCACGTGCCAGAAATAGGAGGTGCCCTTGCAATTTGAGAATCTTAAGTTTAGGATAAACATAATATGTGCTCAATATATTTGAGATTTTGGAAACGGTCAAACTCAAGTTTAAAGCCACACCTGCCACTTTCTGGTTGGGTGATCTTGTGCATATACCCTAACCTCTAAATTTTGTTTGTTTGTTTGTTTAGATATTGTCTTGCTCTGTTGCCCAGGCTGCAGTGCAGTGGCATGATCTTGGTTCACTGCAAACTCTATCTCCCAGGCTCAAGCGATTCTTCTGCCTCAGCCTTCCGAGTAGCTGGAATTACAGGTGCCTGCCACCATGCCGGGCTAATTTTTGTATTTTTAGTAGAGACGGGGTTTCACCATGTTGGCCAAGCTGGTCTCAAACTCCTGACCTCAAGTGATCTGCCCGCCTCAGCCTCCCAAAGTGCTGGGATTACAGGTGTGAGCCACCGTGCTGGCCTGTTTTTATTTTCTGTAAAATGAGAATGCGGATAACAGTAATTCCTTCACGCCGCATACCTGAAGTGAATTAAAGTTCATCATGATATAATGAGCCAGCTCACAGAAGGAACTTAGATATCAATTCTGTTCCTCTTCTCCATCCTCTTACTTGCAACGAAGACACTTTTACAGCACTTATATTCCAAGCACTGTTCTAAAGATTTACAAATATCAACTTGTTTCATCCTCATAATGTCCCCAATTTATGAGGATTACCCCATATTCAGATGGAGAAACAGAGGTGAAGAAAAGCAAACTAACTGATCCAGAGTTTACAGCTAGTCAGGGCAGAGCTGGAATTTGACTCGGGGTAGTACAGATTAAAGCGCTAACAGTTTAATAAGGATTTAAATAAAACCACAGAATGAAAACCCCACATCTAGCTGTCAAGAGGATATCCTAAGTTAAAAGAACAGAACAGCATTGAGGTGGCTAGAGGGTGACTGTGGGGGAGGGGTAGGAAGAAAGAGACCAGAGGGTAAGAAGGAAGCTGATTTTGTTGGGGAGAGTTATGGCTAGGCCTTGGGAAACCAAGTCCACAACTGTGGCTTATTTACAGAGGCCAGAGAAATCTCAGTGATGCTCTCTTAACACCTCCTTCTCCCATCTGCGCCTGGTTTTGTCCTTGATCCTGATTTGGTGGGGGAGATTTTCTGCAAGGCTCAGGATGGATATAGAAGGACACACATCTTTCTTTGTAAATAGGGCCACTTATTGTCAAAATGGGACACATTTGAGAGTAAAAGACAGCATCCTTCATTACACTAAAGTAGCAGGCATAAACTGGAAGCTTATGGTTTGTTTTTTTGTTTGTTTTTGAGATGGAGTCTTGGTCTGTCACCCAGGCTGGAGTGCAGTGGCACAATCTCAGCTCACTGCAACCTCCACCTCCCAGGTTCAAAGGAATCTTGTCTCAGCCTCCCAAGTTGCTGGGACTACAGGTGCATGCCACCATACCTGGCTAATTTTTGTAATTTTAGTAGAGACAGGATTTCACTATATTGGTCAGGCTGGTCTCGAATTCCTGACCTCAGGTGATCCACCCACCTCGGCCTCCCAAAGTGCTGGGATTACAGGCATGAGCCACAGTGCCCGGCCACTCATGCTTCTTATAAACAGCACCTGGAATTAAATACTTCCAGGACCTGTGCCTGGTGCCCAGGTGAAAGGCATTAGGGAGGGCGCATCCAGCTAGCCAATGAGCAGTGCTGATAGCACCAAGGGGAGAGTTCAAAAGACCTTCTCCTGCCTCTGCTGTCATCTTTACTCTTGAGCCTGAACGACAGAGGTGTATTTTTTCGCTCTCTTCTAAACCAAGACTACCTTTTGTTGGGGGTGGGGGGAGACTTATTCAGCTTTCTCTTGGTTTTTCTAGTATTTAGGAAAATCCAGAAGTAGTCTCGACCCTTTCTAATTTCGATGAAGGGATAAAAAGCAATATTGAAGTTGCTTTGAGTTAGAGATAGGGTGGTTTGAATGCAAACTCAGGAGGCTTAGAACTGTGAGGGAGACCTGCCTTTCTGAACAAAGGCTTCATTAGACTCCAGCACCCCTGTAAGCTGAGAACTAAAGAGGGGAGAAAGGAGAAATGTAGCTTTCTGCCTAGGAACCTCTTCCTTGAAACTCTCAAAAAGCAAGAAGCTACTTCTCTACCTCTCGTGAGCCTTCTCCAGAAGGTCCTGACCCACGGTAGGGCTCTGTGCCCTTATCTGCCTGTGGGCTCCATGTAGGGGTACCCCACAAGGCTAAGAATGAGGTCTGCTAAACTAACAGGGATGTACTGTGGTCCTACGGAATCCTCCATTCTCCTAACTCCCCTCCCTCTATGGAATAAGGCTTACCTTGCTCCAGCAGTGTATAACTCTGCTGGTTGCAGAATTACCTTGCAAGGATGCTGGGCTCTGAAAACTCCCCCTGCTGAAGGGTGGGAGGAAATGGACAAGAACTCTAGTTGCAGCTGTGAGCAGATCCTGGAATGGGTTTAACCTGAACCTCTTGAGGAAAGGGGTTCTAGGGGCTGCTGCAATGCTCCCCCCACCCACCCACCCGCTGCCAACTGCCCCGGTTCTATAGGTATCTTTCAGTTTCTACCAAGTTACTCTTAGGCCTACAGCAAGTTGGTGCTGACCATAGAAGCAGCCAAAAGTGGGGAGCCTTAGGCATAACTGAAACCCCACTGAACCAAGTTGTAACATGGAGCGAAGTGGCCAGGCTGTCTGAGCTGGAATCTCAGCCCTGCCACTTCCTGTGGACCTTGCAAGTTGCTTAACCTGTCGTGCTTCTACCTTACCGCTGATGTGGGAGGTGTTGTATCTATGGAGTTCTCTCATTAAGACTCTGCTGTTCAGCTGGTCAAAGCTCTGCATTAGACATGAGTTTAAAGAAAGCTCCCACAACAGGGCAACCTAGGTGGGGAGATTACTTTCAGAAAGGCTGAGCCTAAAACCAGAAGGTGGCTATCGTATCCTCCAGGCCTGGACAAGTAGAGCTAGCTTCTCTGTAAGTGTTGGCTGCTGGCAGGGGACCTCGGCTGGGTCCCAAGCATCCCTATGGTTGCTGCTTCTCGAATTTTGGCTTTCTCTTGAACTCAGCTCCTTATGGAATAGAAGGTTGGGGGTGGGGGTGCCTGGTGTGTCCTAGCTCTTCAAAGAGCTAAAACTTCATAAGCTCTTAATGCTATGTGAAGTCCATGACAGCTTGTGCCAAGTGGGAGCCTAAAGAGAATGGGCTTGGGGACGCTCAGTGGGACCGGTATACTTATTCCATGTGGTAGTCCTCCAAGAAGCCTTGTCTTAAGCCCTCGTGCTGTGATTAGCTCTGTTCAAGCACCTGGGAGTAGACTCGCCTCTAGCACTGGGCTTTCTCGATGTCAAGTGTTGGGCTCAATTTATGCTCAAAGTACCAGCTGCTGTTGGGAGGCGTCTCATTTGTGCTAGACATTTTCAGATGAAAGGAGGCATTGATGAGCTGGCTTAACATCTTCAGGTGGCATTAACCCTGCTCAAGCACCTTCTGGGCTCCTGCTGTTCTCTACACATCTCTGGCCAAAATGCTAAGTTATACCCTCTGAGTTGAATTTTTGTTTAAAAAAGACTTGTCATGAGCATATGGATGTCATCAGATGTTGCTGTGACACCCCAACTTACCTACAAGACTTATCCTCTCAGCCGGTATGTTTTCTCCTCTTAGTATTTAGCTCACTGCTTTCCCCTGTGGGGTGTTCCTAGTTGAGCACCTGCCACACCTCAACTGGTCATCTTCCGGTGAAAACACTCTACTTTAATTGTGGCTCTTGAAGGCTTAGTTAATGATGCTGAAGTGCTAAAATGTGAGATGCAAGAAGGGTGTGGACAAGCCCTTAGTGTAAACTCTCAGGCAAATGAGGCTGAGTTAGTCCCTGGGAGTCCTGGTAGGTTTGGGTTAAGAATAAGAAGGTATACTTCTCCCACCAGGGCTGCAGGGAGGGTCAGGTGGCTGGCACACCCTATGTGCGTGGTGGACATGAGGCATGAGCTGCTGCTGACAACCTCCTCTGCAAAAATGAACGAGTCTTCTAAAGGGAAATCATAGCCCTTACAAAAGCTGAGGCAAAGGCGGGTAACTACTGTCCTAACACTTGCTCCAATTATAAAAGTGGGCTTATTCTGAGTGATACTAGACACTACATGATCACCTAAAGTCATTTTTTCCATGATTGAAGAAAAATGTATTTCTATGGGCTGAGTCTCTTATTTAACTCATTGGGTACAGGTTATTTGGTTGTAAAAGGTGCAGCAGAAAGCATACCTGGCTGAGAGGATAAGTCCTGTAACTAAGTTGGGGTGTCACAGCAACATCTGTGATGACATGGTTTAATTACATGGAAATACTGCATGATTGTGAGGTCTGGACTTTCTAGTTGTACACATCACCCAAATAAACACTGTACCTGGTAGATAACTTTCAACCCTCACTCTGCCATCCTTAGATGGTCCCCAGGGTCTAACTTCCTCAGTCCATGTGTACTACGGGCTGAGTCTCATTTTCACTAACATACCCCCAGAACTGTCTGGCACAGCAGGTGTGTGACTTTCTGACTGCCCTAATCTTGAACTTCTCTCCCCAGTTTTAATGCCATACCACCTCAATCGTTTCTCTGGGACAACACAACCTGTTAAATAGTAGATGTGCTTCTTTGTATTAAGGTTCTCTAGAGGGACAGAACTAATACGATGGGAGTTTATGAAGTATTAACTTACACAATCACAAGGTCCCACAATAGGCTGTCTGCAAGCTTTGAGGAGCAAGGACAGCCAGTCCGAGTCTCAACTGAAGAATTTGGAGTTGGATATTCAAGGGCAGGAAGCATCCAGCACGGGAGAAAGATGTAGGCTGGGAGGCTGGGCCAGTCTCACTTTCTCATGTTTTTCTGCGTGTTTTATATTTGCCTGGCAGCTGATTAGATAATGCCCACCAGATTAAGAGTGGATCTACCTTCCCCAGCCCACTGACTCAAATGTTAATCTCTCTTGGCAGCACCCACACAGGCACACCCAGGATTAATATTTTATATCCTTCAATCAAGTTGACACTCAGTATTAAGTATCACACTGTTCATCACCACAAGATGTTCTTTGGATACTAATTACATCTCATAAAATGAGGTCACCTGTGCCCTCCCAAGTTACAAGCAGCATTCCCACAAGGCAAAGTTGTACTCCACTTGGGCTGGGATTCTGGCTTCTGTAAGTCCTGTCATCTCTGCATAAACCCCACTGAGCTGTCTTGGGCTCACTTGAAATTTAGAGCCTGATAACGAGGTCCAGGGTGGGGAGACAGGTAGCTTATTAAGCAGGTGATCTTGGTGGCATAAGTGGCTAGACCAAGAAGGGTGTACTCCTAAAGTTGTTTCTGTAAACAGCTGAGGCTTTCCACTGGGGTCATGCAGGAAGTACACAGATGCATTGTAGAACTGTCCACCCAAGGTACATGAGCTGGAGCCACTCAATCTGTTGCCAGATGAAGTCTTGC
The DNA here is from genome assembly GCF_000001405.40 of Homo sapiens. Classification (NCBI taxonomy): domain Eukaryota; kingdom Metazoa; phylum Chordata; class Mammalia; order Primates; family Hominidae; genus Homo; species Homo sapiens. Next base: position 114,179,625 of record NC_000012.12, on the reverse strand, counting down.
CTGTTTTCCAGGTTCTTGGTGCATTGAACAAAATTGAACAACATGCAAAGAAACATAAACGAAGCAATGAAAGTGTGCAGATCCACTGAAATGAAAGTGCTGTCCAGAGTGGGAGCCAGCTCGAGAAAGTGGCTCGAGAGCTCTGATTACAATGTTCCTTAGACTTTGTACTAAGGTGAAAGAACTTGGTAACACTCTTAGGTGGCCTTTTAGGGGCCTCCAGTTGGTTATAATATAATGAAGGACTGGCCCGTGACCAATTAGATGCTGAAGTGGAAATTTGTCACAGAAGTGAGGATGTGGCCTGTATGCTGCCTAATCCTGCCTTAGAACTGGCTTCACTTGCTATTGTCTCATGCTTTAACCTTTGGTTATCCTAATTCCCTATTCAGCCTCACTTCCCTGAGAGGTGTGATTCTCATAAATCTTCATGGAAGGTGGAAGGGCTGAAGACCAGCCTTGTGTAGCTACTTCCTGCTGGTCACAGGCATTGTCCCTGCCTATCAGATCATGGGTCTCTAATAGTAGGTAGTTAGGTGGGTATCTGTGGGTTGTGGTGAGCCTTCTATTTGGTTGTAAAAGGTGCAGCTGGCTTGACCCAGTCATAATTTTTTTGCCTGATTTTGTTCCAAAACTAGCTGAAACCCTTGTGCAAGAATTGAGCAAAAAATTGGCTAACATTTTAAATCTGGACTACCATCCAACTTATAGTAACCGTGCAACAAAGACACCAGGGAAAATTGATAGGCACCTACTTCTGACTGTCTTTGAACAGGCGCTTCAGGTCTTCAACAGGTTCACAGGTATAGCAGCTGGCGGGAGCCTCAGGTTCCAGGTCCGGGGCTTCAGGTATTGCAAGCTTGACCCTGGAAAGATGTATCCAACTGTCTAATAACCAGTACTTCAACCACAGAAGGTGTGGCCAACACCACTGAAAAAGGTCCCTTCCATTTGGGTTGTAGTTGAGTGGGTGACCCCTCTTTCTATGTCTTAAATATATTATCTCCTGGCCTGACCTTGGCTTGCTGGTTAGTTCCTGGTGTAGGAGGAGTCTTTAAGTTCCAAACTCCTGTAATGCCTGCTGAAATTGCCCCAGGTTAACTAGGTATCTTATTAACCCAGCCATTTCTGGATCAGTTATGAGATCATTAGTTAAAAATGGCCTCCCATATAACAAGCACTTATGGGCTAATACTTCTTGCTCTCAGTTATGAATTCTTAAGAGTCCTATATTCGGTAAGTTAGCCCAAGTTTGATGTTTCCTGACATAGCTAACACTCATTTTAGCTTGACTCGCCCCTTCCACTTTCCTGGAGGACTGAGGCCTCTGAGCTGAATGTAAATAGCATTTGACACTGAGAGCCTCAGTAATACCTTAAGTTATCTGGGAGAAAAAAGACAAGCCGTTATCACTTTAGAGGCTTTGGGGTAACCCCAAACTATGGGATTATCTGCTTTAAGAGAACTTGTAACCTCACTAGCCTTCTGGTAGAGTAAGCTCAACCCACCCAGTAAACATGCCTATTAAGTACTAGCAAAAACTTGTATTCTCTACAAGCTGGCATGTGGGTAAACTCCAATTATCGGTCTTCTGGATAAGCTCTCCTTCTCTGGACTGGCTCTATTAGAGGAGGCATTCTGTTTTCTGGGTGGCCGAACGTGCAGTGAACAGGATGACAGACCCGTTTAACCACTGAAGCAAGTTAGGCTCAATGAAGAGCCTGTGTACCATGGCTAGAGTGGCATCTTTCCATATGGAAAGAGTCATGCAGGGTTTTTATAATCCTCCATTCATTGGGCTGAGGGAGATAGTTCTGATCCCGTATACTGCCAGGTTCCTTGTCATCCTCATTGCTCCTTTATTCCTGTGGTATATATTCGGGTTCTATTGGAGTCATAGAAAGGAAGTGGTGCTAAGATTTGAGATTGCACCCCAGGGCTGCTTTGGCCTCTTTGTTCCCTGTGCTATTGGGGTTAAGTCCTTTTGATGCCTTCTACAGTGGATTATGGCTACAGCCTCTGGCAAGTATATTGCTTCCAATAGTTGAATTTCAGACCCATGCTTTGGGGGGAATGTTTACCACTTAGTAGTCATCTCTTTCCAAATGGCAGCATGAGCATGATCTGCCACTAATGGGTGAAGACCACAGCCTCACTAATTGCCCTGAGATTCTGTACCATATATTCCCCCAAAGGTTGTAAAACAGGTGAAATGGGAATATTGCAGGGAGAACGGCAGGGTTTTAGTCTATGGGAAAGCAATTCCTTAAGTACGGACACCAAGCCCTTTCTTGCTTCCAGCTTAATTGGGTATTTGGTTGGGGAAAATTGGGTCTTCAAGCTGTATTTGGCACTGCCATTCTAGTCCTTCCAGGCCTCCCAGTATACCATAATAGATTGACCTATTGACATGATCTGGAGCATTGCCTGCATCACTGACCACTAGCAATCCTGAGTGGTGCTTAAATTGTAGCAGCACCCCTATGTTAACCACAACATCCCTTTCCAACAGTGGGGGCCAGGCAGCATGGTATTACTGAGCTCCTGGAAAGCTTGTCTCAAGTTGTCAGGCTAAAGGAGGGGTGAAATGCCTTCCCCCACCCCCATTCCTATAACAGTCATGGTCCTAGTGGACAGTTTTCCTGCATAAGCAGTAAGGACAGTAACTTGCCCCCATACTGAAAAATGGAACTTGTCATGTCCAGAGTTACCTGGGCCTCCTCAGAGTAATGATCCTGGACAGGGGCTGTGAGGAAGCCCTAGGCCCCTTCAGTCTTAACCTAGCTCCTCCCTTTGCACTACCAGTCTCAACTGAGTCCCTCAATGGGAGTGTGGGGGGCAGTTGATTCTCCACTGTCAGGAGTTGTGACTAGTGCCTTCACACAGACAGCAGGGGCTTAGTGTACAGTCCTTTACCCAGTGTCTATTTTTCTTGCACTTGAGGCAAGAGACTCTGGCATGATCCTTATGGGTTGTCCTCGGATGCTTTTCAGGTGTTGCTAATGATGGCTGCCATGATTTTTGACTTGCTGTTCTTACCTTTTTCCCTCCAGGTCATGACTGTTACAACATAAATGGGGTATCAAGACACTGATTTTAGTTTGTGGTCCCACTTGCAATTTTGAGTTTGCACCTGATGTCAGGGCCGACTGGCTGATAAAATGCTGTACCATTAGCATAACCATTGAGAGGAAGGGTCTAGAATTGCATGTTTTCTGATGGCCTCATGTATCTCCCATAAAACATAGCTGGGTTTTCTTCCTTCCCTTGTATAATTTCCGGGACCTTATAACTTAGGGCCTTGTTTATTTTTTTTTCTATTTCTCCAAGGGAGTGCCTCAAACTTTGCTCACCTGTTCATTTCCACAGGGATATCATCTCAATTAGAGTTGTTGGTCGGCACCATGTCTGGGCCCCGGGTGACTGCCCTGGGGATTTCAGGCAGACATGCCATCTGCCTTGCAGCAGGCAGCCTCATTCTTTTTCCATAGGGGTGCACCAGGTTGCCAAAATGAATTGGACATCTCCATGATAAAGCAAAAGCTAGAGCCAAAGACTGGAACCCATCAACAAACTTGCCAGCATCCCCAGTACTTTCACAACCTCTTAGTGCCAGGGGAGCTGCTGAGTAGGGTATTCTACTCTGGGTGTGTTGGGTTCAGTGTAATTTGTCCCTCTGGCCTTGCATGATTGGAGCACTTGGCAAGCAGTTATGTGGGGGCGGCCATAGTTACCCCTGAGAGATGAGTGGCCCTTGTAGGAGGGGTCATCAATGTCTGGCTCAATCTTAGGACTTTCTTTTTGAGGGCCAATATTGGGACTTCTGCAGATCGAAGGATTCTGATACAAAACCATAAAGGCTTGAACACATAGTATTCCTGACCATCTACCCTGTGATTAAGCCTTCCATTTTTCTGGCCACTGCTCCTGTCTAGCTGGTATTGTGGCCAAACAGCTTTACAATAAAAATTGAATGTTTCCTCTGATTATCAAGGTCATAATTGATTCTAATGGCCAAAGATGCAGCTGAGTTGGAGAATCAGAACAGTGTTTCCCATAGTAGTCTGGAAAAGAGATCCTAAGGAGGGCTTATTTGTTGACCCAAAGCTTCCACCTAGGGTGTTGTGGTGGGGAAGTCTTGGAGTTAGCACTGGATCCCCAGGGGTGTCCCCCTTCAGGGTTCAGTCTTGGTGTCAGACATCTGACCTTAGGTGGGCACTGGTACCACTTTGTTTTCCCTTCATAGGTAGCCTATGACCTTCCCATTTGTTCCTGGATATAATCCCAAGCTTTTAGTATCCCACCAATTTAGACAGGCCATATCTTCCTGCATTCTAGCCCAAAACTTTAAGGTTAGTACTTCTCATAACCAGAGAGGCCAGAGAAGGTATGAATCCCTGTGGCTGTTAACTTACTCTGGGGTCTAGACAGAAAAAGGTAAGAACGAAGATGTGGGGTCTTTAAGTTTGTCTTTCTCTGCATTTTCCTAGTATAAACAAGGGGCATGCAGATGGTGTAATAGGGCTCTCAAATGCAGCAATTTCATTCCCTCGTCCCCACAAAGCACCAACAAGGCAAGGATAGAAGTTAGGTGATCAAATCTTGGACACCACGCACAAACCTGACTGTTGCATAGATGCCTCTTGTGCCTGGCAGGACCTAGATGTCTTGGTCCATAACTGAGCTGTCATGGGAGACTGAGTTGGTGGGTGGTGTTGTGGCTTTTAACTGCCTGACCCATGCCTGCAAATGGCAGCTTTGACAAAGATAAAAGGAAACAACCCCAGACAACTGAGCTTACCTCCTGCTGGCTCACCAAAACGTTACTGGATGGAAAGTCTTTACCGATTGTCCATGTTCTTGGCACATCAAAGCATTGAACAAAATGTACAAATAAAGCAAAAGAATGGCAAAACAGTGCAGATCTACTGAAATGAAAGTGTACACTCTTAGAGTAGGAAAGGGCTCTAGGAAGCAGCTCAAGACACCCAATGTTATTCAGGGTGTTTAAGCTACAAACCTTAACACCCCTAGGGTGACCTTTAGAGGCCTCTAACTTGGTTACATGCTATGAAGGATTGGCCCATGGCCAATCCAAGGCTGAAGTGGCTATCTCAAGAGTGAGGACATGGCCTGTGTGCTGCCTAACCTTGTCTACAACTGGCTGCACCTGCCTGTCTCATGCCTTAACCCTTGGTTACCCTAATTCCCATTCTCCTGCCTCAATTCACTGGCTCTCATCTTCACTAGTTGGATTGACTCTGGGGCTAAACTTACAAGGTACGCATGTGTTTGAGATGCACCTTTGGGCAGAAAGCAAGGCTGTACTTGAGTGAAGATGCCATCCCTTCCCTGCCTGTTCTATCGGCATCTGAAATCAAAGGGCAGAAGGTCAGCCTCTGCCATGTGTCTGCTATGCATGCTGACTTAACCTTAGTTTCTAACAATCCTTCCCTCTCTTCCACTAGACTGAGGTTTAAGAGGAGGGATTGCTCCATCAGTTAGGGCAAAGCGCATATAGTGGCTAAAACTTGGCTAATCGTGAGACTTGGCAAGTGGCAGCCCTAAGGATGTTAAGCTTTGGGCCCAAGAATGGTGGCTGCCCATATATAGGGAGAGGGCAAGACCAAGAACTCTGGTGCTCAGTTGTCATCTCACCACCACTGGAATGGGCTGCTAAGCAGACCCAAACTTGTCATTCCTGCACTCACCTGGGGAAGGCCTATGATCTCAATGATCTGATTCCTTGAGACACTCAGTGCTTTCTGGAACTCCAACTTACACTTTAGTTGCACCCTGTTGGACCTGCTGGTGGCACTGGACGGAACTACCACTCAGCCTTAACTTTAAGCAGGCTGAACTGGCATAGGATATGACCTTGGCCACAGCTGACTGGACTGAGGAGACTCATGGCTCTGGTGGGGGCCTGCTGAGAGATGACATGGTTTGGTGTGTATACCTCACTTCCTGTTACACTTGATATGTAACTGGCTAAATGATTCTCACTTTGAGCTGGGAACTGAGTTTCAGAGTAGAAAGATCTCATGGATCATTGCTACTGAAGCTGTGGTGGGGGACTAGGCTATAGTTACAGGAGAGCCTCCTACTTATTGGGGAGGGAAATACCTATGCCCAAAGGCAGTGTCACACCAGATCCCTATTGACTTCAACAAGGGATGGCATTGTCTTCAAGAGGCTGAAGAGACTCGGAGCTCTAGTGAACAAGACTGTTTACTCAAGGGAACTGCGGAGCAGTCAAGTGGCAATAGACCTGACAACTGCATCTGGTCTCTTTAAAAGCATGCAGTTGGCCAGGTGCGGTAGCTCACACCTGTAATCCCAGCACTTTGGGAGGCTGAGGTGGGCGGATCCACGAGGTCAGGAGTTCAAGACCAGCCTGACCAACGTGGGGAAACCCCATCTCTACTAGAAATACAAAAATTAGCCGGGCATGGTGGTGGGGTGCCTGTATTCCCAGCTACTCAAGAGGCTGAGGCAGGAGAATCATCTGAACCTGGGAGTGGAGGTTGCAGTGAGCTGAGATTGTGCCACTGCACTCCAGCCTGGGGAGACAGAGCGAGACTCTGTCTTAAAATAAAAAGCGTGCAGTTCATACAGCTTCCTCATCACCTTCCCCTAACCTCCACCTGGTAGCCTTCATTTAACCCAACCCTCAGTGCCCCAATCCCCCTGTATGGCCTGTGTCCGTAGGATGGCCCAGGGGTTCAGGTGTTCCTCAGACAAGGAATAGATCTCCGGGCTGGCCACTCCTGCATTCCTTAGCTGGGAACTTGAAACATACTCTGACATAGGGCCATTCTCAGGGCGTGCTTAAGTTATTGCTGTTGTGTGTGCCATACAGGGTCATTCTCAGGGTATGCTTAAGCTGTTGCTGCCATACAGGCAGACAGTGGGGTACCTGAGGGTGTGTGGCCCCTAGAGCTGCATTGGTCTCTGACCCAATTCTAGATGATGCAGAGAAATCCTGCTTTCCCTAAAGGAGTTAAATAAGCTTAAATTAAAACAGGTAGCTCTTGGGGTGGACATAAAGCAGAAATGGGAAGGCAGGTGGGCTGGCCTGGCCTTCCCTTTGATGGTGACCTGTCATCTCTGATCTCTTTCATGTGAAAGGATGGTAAGGTATCTTCCTCACAGGATTTTACGCTAAAGATCTCATCATCAAAACTGCAAACACGTCATATACTAATGTTATTGCCACCTCCTTGACAGCTGTCTATAGTACCCATGTTCTTTGCTCTGATAGGACTGTCTCACTTCACAAAAATGACTCCTACAACTGCAATGGGTGTCAGCCCAATATGCGCATCAGTAGTAATGCTGTCAGTAACTTCACAGCTCTGTGACCCTTCCCCTCCTGAAATGCTGTTGACAATGTGATCCCACCTGAATCATGTGTGAGGCACTGATCAATACATCAAGTTGAAGCTTAGACTTGGCTCTAAGCCTCTGAACTCGGTTCATTCTTATGGCTTAAAACTAGTGCAGGCCCCACATAAACCTGGATCTTCCCCATTTGGGCTTGCATTATCAACAGATCTCTAACTCATGAGGGAAAACAAGGTTCGGATGGGGCCCACCTGCCTTGGGTCAAGTGTGAACCCACACCTGACTTGCTCAGCCACCTCAGGGGCATCTTTCCAAATTGAGCCCACTGACCTAGGCAGAATGGCAACTACAACTGACAGTTAGGTCTCTTCATGCCTCTACCATCTTCGTATGTGAAACAGGTTTATCAGTCGCTCCTAGTGCCCTTAGATTCTGACATGGGGACTTGGCTGCCACCTCTTCACATTCTAACCTGCTAGTTATGTCTCCACTTCTCAACTGATGCTCCCTCTTCCTCTTCCTACCCCAGGTAAACTGACTTCAGTCTTGCTTTACTAGGCTCGATGGCTCTGGCCTTGTTCCACTTACAAAGTGTCAGGCACAACTTCAGCTCACTGGGTTCCCGGTAGAGAAAGGCTGTTTGCCTTCCATGGCCTTGTTATAAATAGGTTGATCAGGCTGACCAGTGTGATGCTGTCACAGCCTTGAAGGCTTTCATGTCACTTCCTGAGTGACAGTTGAATTCCAGGGGGAAGTATCAAGTCAGAGGAAGCCTCACTTGAGAAAGTGGAGTTCTTGGTGCAAAACTTCCAGTGGTAACATGGTGAACACGGCAAAGACTAACATCTCAGTTCCTACTAGAGACAACATTGTGCTGAAGGACAGCGGGCCTGTTCCAGGCACTGATCTCTAACTTCAAGTTCTTCTGCTTTGACCCAAGTCAGACTAAGTCATTTCTGAAACCAGTCTGAAGTCACCTAAAATGGTTTCTGGGGCTAAACAAGAGGGATAGGTCAGTGTTGCTATGTACCAGACACTAACCCAAGAACAAGCATAAAGAATAGACAAACTCTCTGTAAACCTGGACTCAAGCTCAAGACCACCTCTAGTCCTAGCCATTTGCATTTGACTTAAAGTACCCTGTGGGAGACGAGTCTCTACATCTATGCATTTTCAGTAATAAGCAAAAGTCTTCAAATGCTTTTAGGAAGTATCCTAGCCATCCTGAAATGTGATCTGTCTAGGTGATATCTTTAATCTAGAGGATTCCCCGGGGGATCTCCCTCTCACATGCCTGAGGCTTTCTAACACTTAGTGCATTCATTTTGTAAATTTGAACCATATACCCCGGCGTAGAACTTCATCCTATCTAACTCATGCTCTTAAGCCTGAACACAGCATAGGGTTTACTGTAACTTCAGACTTGGGAGTCCAGGAAGACCTCTGAAAAGTAGCATCTAAACAAATGTCTGAACTATAATGGATTCTGCAAAGATCTCAGGAAAGCATCCAAAGTAGAACAGCTAGTGCAAAGGTCCCAAGGCAGGAATGAGCCTGGGACAAATGACTAGAGCATAGTGTGTGTATGAGGGCAGTGTGTGCTTAGAGGCTGAGGGTGCAGAGAGGCTAAGCTCTATAGTTCCTTATTAAGGACAAAACAATAAGCTTTATCCCAAAAGTGGCACGTTGCTTTCCCTCAATCACTGTAGCTCTGAATGGACTTCAGGGAGTAAGATGAGGTATTGGTTAGGAAGCTATTCATTTCCCAGGTGAGATGGGACTTTGATCAGTAAGGATGAGACAAAAGTAGATTTCTCCCTTGAAGAGGTAACAGGATTTGAAGGACTAGACATTGGATGAGGGGACAAGAAGAAAATGCCAAATCCTAATTCTGGGCTAAGCAGATAGTGGCAGCATCAACTGAAACAGAAGCCTAGGGTAGGAGAACATGTAAGTGACATGAACAAGCTGTAGAACTTGATGCTGCTGGGGCTGAACCTCTGACTAGTCATGTAACTTTGACACAGGTCAGATCTCAAGTAACACTTAGCTCCTGCAGCAGGCAAGAGGAAACTGACACACAGGATGTCCATAGATCACATGAGGTTTCCAATAGTACAGTGGTCCTTGGAGATGAGTTAAGGGTATTCACAGGAGTTGGAAAGCAAAGCCAGTAACTGAAACATTTACCCCATAGATACTTAAAGCCCCGAGTAAAGGCTTATAAGGCAAAACTAAAATCTAAATAATGACTGGGTGTAGAGTCAAGCTTATGGTTCAGCTCAGTGAAACAAGTCATAGACCGAATCAAATGATCCTAAGATCCAAAACCAGGCAAGTCGCAAGTAGATAAAAAGTCGAGCTTTTGCAGGCTTTGCATTTCTCCTATTTGACTTGAGTCATGAGTATGCGTTACTTACATCGAAAGTGAGAATCAACCCTTACCCTAGGCAGGGAGGTCTAAGAAGCTGAGCTGCTGATCATGGCAAGCAAACTTAGCTGCCTCTGGGTGTATGAGTCACTTAGCACCGTCCCCCCCACCTCCCAAAAAAAATTTCCCAAAACTCCTGGAGGTGTCTAAGCTAAAGTTGCTTCAGCTGTGTTGGCCACCTATTCCTGGGAAGTCTAACTTCCTCTTCAGGTCCCTTTAATAGTTATAAAGATGAGTGCTGGGGGTCCTTGAGTCATTTAGCCATACCCTTTGGACATACCCTTCTTTATACAAATAGGGGAAACTGAGGCCTGTCTAGGGGAAATTTCTTGCTCAAAGTTTTGAGCTAGCGTGGTCAGCCCTAGCTCTTGAATTAGCAATGATTGCCCCGAATCTTCAGGTCCTCCCTTTCCCTGCTACTCAGAGCCCTGATGAAATATCTACATTAATTGATTAATGCTGTGAATAACTATTCCCATTAGAGATAAATAATGCATGCTCTTAAGGCTGAGTTCTGGCATGGCATTGATTGAGAACAAGGAAGGATGGGGTGGCTGTCCACACAATGAAGTGTCTTCTAGAAATTGAAGTGACTGTCCAGTAGAGAAGATACAAAAGCCATGTGCACCTGGGTTTCGGGAGAAGCAGCCCACAGGACAAAATCCACTCCAGCTTTCTTCTAGGGCTTCACCTCCTGGCCCCTTCATCTGAGCCTTGATATACAACATCTCCTCACTGCAAGCCTTTCTTAAAATGCCTGCTTTCTCTTATCCTTTCAGAACGTAACCGGCACAGGGTATGTGCTCAGTTCCAGGCCCAGGAGCCTGACCTAATTGTTAGGGGGTAAGTAGAGAAGTCAGACTATATAAGCCTTTCAAAAGGCAGTGGATTACCCTCCCTGGGAAACCTTTTATAGGTAGTCTCCTATGGACTCCCACAATCCCCTGACCTCCCTTAGCTGAGGGCTCACTGCACTCTCATATCCCAGGAAGCCAAGTGGGTTGGAAAGCCCTCTAAGCAGAGGGAATACCCTGTGCATAGACCTGCGGGGCAGGTAGTACAGAGCCTGTGCAAGGAGAGACAGCTGTCCTAGAGCTCAAGTGAGCTGTAGAAGAGGGCAAGGGTCAGAAGCTGTGGTCTTGAAAAAGTGTTCAGAACACCGGATGAGAAGACATCCCTTCAATAACCACCATGGAATAAGCCTCAAGATCGTGTGGTGTGGTTCTGTCTCTCCAGGTAGGCTGAATATTGAAGGTAGGCCCTCTGGGTTCCTGCTGTGCTGACAGGCCACTGATGAAAGCAAGGTGGCCAAGCACAACATCCTGGAATATAACCTAGAATGGAGGGGAGAAACTCGGGGTTGACCCTCGGGTGAAGCAAGAGTATGCCTGTCAGCAACACCACTGTAAAACGGAAGTATGCTCTTGGCAGAGCATAGACTCCTTAAGCTCACATGCATCTGTAGGAGTCAAACTTCTCAGTCCAAATCCAGTCCTTAGCAAACTTAGCTAGGGTTAGTCTAGGCTGAAGACAATGCTAAAATTCTAAGCTTTTAGTCAAGAGGTCTTGGCTGGCTTAGTCTGCTGTGAGTCAGATGTTAGCTGCTGCTGTTCTCAAAGGCAGCTTGCCCCAGTTCTGGACTTTCAAAGTCTATTTGTCTTGCTCCACCCTCACAAAAGGGCTCTTGATTCCTATTAAATCCAAGACACAACAAAGAGCTGCGTGTACCAGACAAGCTCTTGTCTCCAAGTATCTTTCTCTATCTCTAATAACCTTAATAGTGAACTAACTTCAGGCTCCTGGCCCACAGTGGATGCTCAAATGTAGATCCCACAATATTGGGTGTTCTTCTTGATTGACATCCCTCCTAAGGGAACTAGTCCTAAATGTAGACTGAGATTCAAATTCATGCCTTAGGCGTTGGCCTCTGGGGGGTGAGCTTCACTCACAGGGGAGATGCCAGCTTAGAAGTATCTTATCCCAAGAAGTCCTCTCTACAGTCCAAATGGTACAGACCTCAATGATGGTAACACATCCTAATGCCCGAGGGCCTTCTAAAACTATACTGACAACTTCCAGCCTCAGCTAGATGAATCAACCCAATTTGTTCCTGGTCTAGTAAGACTCACTAAGAATCATTTCAAGCCTCTGCCTTTATCTGCAACAGAATAGTAGACAAAATTGCACCATCTCAAAGGTATTACCTGAAAGGCTGCCAAAAATCCCCACAACCAAGCTCAGTCTCCCTGCAGTGCTTAAGCTATGACAAAGCACAGACATAACAGACATAACTAATACAAATAGCCTGTTTTCTATTGCTGCATAACACAAACTTAGCAGCATAAAACAGCAGCTCAGCTCTGTAGGCCAGTCATCCAGGCAGTGACTGAGACTGTTCTGGTATCCCAAGGCTGAAATCAAGGTGTTAGCTGGGCTACATTCTCATCTGAAGGCTCTAGGGGATGTGTCAGCTTCCAAGCTCATTCTTGTTGGTATAACTTGAGTTCTTAGAGTGTAGGACTGCAGTATCTTTGTGGCTGTCAACTGCGGGCTGCTTTCCTCCGAAGGGCTTCCCGCATCCTTTGCTATGTAGCTCCACTTTCAAGCCAGCAACTGTGTCGAATCCTTCTAGGCTTTGAGTCTGACTTCCCTTTAAAGGGCTTGTGTGACTGTGTCAGGCCCACCCAGGACAATCTTGTCCTATAACAGAACAATCATATGCATGATCTCATGCACAAGGTCTGCCCACTCGAAGGGTTATATGAGGCATACCCACATAGGGTATGCCTTGGGCCACACCTGTGCGGATGCTGCTCTACCACTTATGGCATCCCCTGCTAGCCTCCCTGAGGACAGAGATGTTGGCTCTCACTGACCCCAGCACCTGTAGCTGGAACATGAGATTCTGGAGCTCTGGGGCTGAGTCTCATCTTCAGGGACTTAAGTATGTTCTACCAGATAATTTCTCTGCATAGACGCAGCTTTTAAGACATGAACTCTACATATCCCAAATTAAGAAGGCTGCCTAAGACTAAAAGCTGCATCCTTCCAGCTTGTATAATGTCCAAAGCATACCTAAGTCTCACTTAAACTAGCTCTGCTACTAATGCTGTCATCACTCACAACTTATACTTATAGGCGATAATGAACTAGACCTCTCCTGACACGACTTCCTGGCTGTGGTGGGAGAAGAACTCTCGAATGCCCCTTGTAAGAAGGCGCAAAAGGATTCCTCCTGAGATCTTAACTTCGCATGGAAAAATCCCTATGATGGGTGAGTGCTGCCCCCTCTAGGTCAGAAGGAGTCCTTGTGCCAGCTTTGTACTCACCACCCAAGAACTCGAGTGTCCTTTATAGTGGTACACTGAGACCTCACTACCTTCTACCCTCGAGAGGGAAGTAGCTCCTGGGCTGTTGTCTCCAAATGTTTGCTAGGATTACCTACTCTTTTCCCCCCCCCTTTATGTTCTTGTAGAATTGTAGGGACCAGGGCAGTGCCACATCAAGGGCAAGGAAACCAATCCTGACAGTCCTGAGCCCTCCCTTTCCTATTGAAAATGGAGTGAGAATTGCTCACTGCATGGCAAGTCCTGCCACCATTCCTCCCTGCACCAGTGGTAGACATTGCTAATCCATCACGGAACTTGGCTTATAGTGAGCTTCTACATGGATCTGGAGTTCTCCATATTCCTGGCAGCTACTAGCAGTTGATTGCAATATAGCAAACACTTGGTATTCCCTAGGGAGTCAAGAGGATGGGTTGTAACAAGTCTGTTTTCAACATTCTACACTGCTGGAACAGTAGTGCTCTATGCTCTGAAACAATAGCTGGCTCAGCCTGGTAACTTGTCTTTCCCTGAACCTCCCTTGGGTGAGAGTAAAGAGGCCAGGCTCTGGAAGTCCCTATCCTTACCTAAGCTCAATGTGGTTATGAGGTTGGAGATGGCAAAGTCAAAGACCTCCAAGATGAGATTGTCTTGGGCTCATGCATCAGTTTTTGGAGCGAAGCTGCACAACTTCTAAATGTGAGACCAGTGTCTTCCTAGTCTTTCAATGTGAGGTTTTGTGAGGAAACCTTGTCTCGCCTTCAGGGATGTTTTAGTCTGGGTTTTGTTGCCAACAGCTGTGTTTGTGTGAGTCTCTTAACCTTTCACAAAAGCAATGAATAACTGCCTACCTTAGGGGTTTCGGGGATGGTGTAGTGTAGCAATTGGCGGCTGTCAGGGTCTCGAACGGGGCAAATCTTCCCCTAAGGCTGAGTAACCTTTAACTCTTTCCAGGGGGTCTCTGTCTTCATCCTTGTAACTCTCCCAGCTTTCATCTTTCAGCCCTTCAGGGATACTGAACTCCTCCGGCTAACAGGTGACCTGTGGGTGACTGCACAGATGCTCCTGAAACCAGAACATCAAAGCCCATCCCAGGCTCGTGCTAGCCCTCCAGTGATCCAGCAATGACAAACTGCTGCCAAAGGCAATGATGACCAAGCCCCCAGCCCTCTGGGTACTGCTTGCTCGATGGCCTCCTTCCACATACTGTATTTAAATCCAAGCTCACATCTCAACTTGGGACTACAGAGCCTGAGGTGAGGAACTATGGAATCAGGGGGATGGCTTCAAATCTACTGAAGCCTAACTTTTAAGCCCTCAAGATGTGAGGCTGCTAGTCCAAGACATCTTAAAACAGGATATGAAAACAAATTTCTTAGCCTAGGAATGTAGTAGAGTAATCCTTCCAACAGATCGCTGAATGCCTGCCATGCTACAGAGATTCTTTGTGCTGAGGATGCAGTGTGGGAGTGTCCCTGCTTGCATGAAATGTTCTGGATGAACACACGATGTCAGGTAGTGATAGCCCTTATGAAGGAAAAATGAAGTGGGCATATAAGAATGTCTTGGACAACAATGTCTTGAACTTAATGTCTGACCCTGCCTGAAGTTATGATCTTCAGTAAAACAACTTGACCATGCCTATCCCACCCACAAAAAAAAATCCACCGTCAACTCCTGGGGTGCATGCTTCCACCCTTGGGGCACTTACTCTACATATTCTTCAGAGGGTAGAGGAAACCTTCAACCTACAACTGAGAACTGAGGGTAGTGAGTAACTGGACTCAGAAAGTGAAGTACCTCTAGTATCTGGCAACTCCCTGAAGGGCCATCACAATGGGAAGAACATGAAGCCTAATCATCCTGGAGGACTTCTAGCCTTCAGTTGAAGGAGTCTAGCCTGCTGGTTTTCTAGTTTGTGGGATACACATGGTTGGCCTGGGGTTTTCTGAACCTGTTTCTAGACACAGGTCCATGAACTTCAGGGCAATGACTTCATCTGGCCCCAACAATATTTATTGGGCTAATGTTTGACTTAGCCCCTGGTGCCACACAGGGGAGAACGACTCGTGTGTTAGTGGGAGCAAGAAGCAAGTACTACTGCGTGAGTACTGGGTCATAACTCGGAAGCAAAGAATATGCTATATAACAGCATACATCATGGAAACAAAGTGGAACGTCCTATATCGTGCACACATGTGGAAAAAACCTGTGTGATGGGGTCTGTCATAAGGTTATTCCATCTTTCCTGAAGTGGGATGAAGATGTTCATGGTACATAGAGGCAGATACTCATTGCTATATGCTCAAGTTATAGCTGGGCACTAAGGTGGTGGTAGGTGGGGTGATATTGGGGAAAAATAGGATGCTTTTCTATAAGCCACAGCCAGAAAGGAAACTGAACACAAGTGGCATCTCCTGAATGGCCATATAGACTCGAGTCACCGTAAAACCTAGCTTGACTGCTTAGTTATGTGCTTCATGTGCTTGTCCTCCACAGTATGAGTCAGGATGGACTCATCACCCTGTTGACCAGGATGGAAGGCAGCTATGTACTCCACACTCCTGGGAGCCTGCTGTGTAGCTGAGGGAAGTGAGTCATGGGTACCGGTCTACAGAATCCTCCTACTGTGTACTTCCTGTTTATGTGCTTCCTCAAGGGACCCAGGTAGAAGGAATTGTCTTAAAGGTCCTGGTGGAATTGAATCGAACTGAAGCAGCTTTGAAGGCCTGGCTTCTTGGAGGCTTCCAGGCTCTGGTCAAGTCTCTTCTGACCTCTGTTCTATAGCAAAAGAAGCTTTCCACTTCTGTCCTCCTTGCTGTGTGGTTTTGTCCTTAAATACACCTCCAGCTTGACCCAGCTCCTCCTCTTCCAGGTCCTCAGCAGTCAGCCAGTAAGCTACCTGCTCCAGGGTCAGGTGGTCACCTCAGCCCAATCAGCTGGTCCTGAATAGTGATTGTGAGGCATGACAACATGGCCTAACTGGGAACAGGGGTCTGGGCAGTTTGTGCCCAGGGACGATGGGTAGGCAGGGAGATGCTTATCCTAGTACCTTTAAAAAAAAAAAAAAAAAAAAAAAAAAAATAGTAGTAATGTATGGTCCAGGAAGAGACAATCTCAGGATGACTGTCCCCAGCATCTAAAGTATGACTCAGGAGCAAGGCTTCAGTCTTGTAGCTAGAAATGCCTGCCTGCCCCTGTCTCAGGTCATGGGTGGGCCCAGATGAATGCACGGATCCTCACCTCTCACCCCGAAATAGATCTTCACAAATCGTGAACCCAAAATGAACACTTAAGAGGTGCTTTACATGGACAGTCTCAGGCTACCCTCTTTGGAGGTATGTATAGGGAAGGTGGACAAAACTTCAGTTTTTCTTAAAAGTGCAAGTGACAGGGATCTGCTTTCTCTGGGCTTGGCTTTCCTATTTCCAAAACATGGTCGGTCTTGGTGACTGTTCAGTGGAGTGAACATCTTTATTTCAACAGGAACAAACTATTGTATAAGTGGTCACAAAGCCCAGTTGACTGATCAGTTATGTCCATGCCTTCTGGTTCTGCCCATTACTGATGGTGTTGACATCCTCAACTACAGGAGTGGATTTGTCTTATCAGTTCACATTTCATCTTGATGCTCTTAGGTACAAAGACAACTTCTTGGACTGTCCTTGCATGTAATGCTCACTATCATTCATGACAACTTTCTCTGCTCTAGTCAGCTCCAGGTTTCTTTTGATTGAACATGTCACACCTTTCTCCCTTCTAAACTGACTTCATATTTAAGTGGATTTCTCAGTCCAGTTCTAATAGTCTGAAACAAGTCAACAGACTAGCTTAGTCATTTCAATGGCTTGTAATGGCCTATAACACACCTACCCCCAGACCAAAAGCTGTTTATTCCCTTGGTTTTTGGCCCCTAAACCCACTGCTGAATAAGCACTGTTGCCTGTAGGTCTTCAAGCTGGTGCTCCCATTACTATGGCATAGATTTCCAGAACTGGGGCTGCTGGATTTCAAGAGTGTTTAGATATAACTAAGTCTTACTAGCTGTTGGCCAAACTGCTTTCCAAAAAGGATAATTCATCCCCCACTGTGAATGCATAAACTCTTATGAACAAGGCACAGCAAGTTCCTTTATGTGTGATAGTTCTTACCTGTGAGATCCTATAACTTCCTCTGGTTGTTCAACATAGCATTGTGGAGCAGGCATTTCATGTTTCTCTGTCCATCCCTGGAACAAGGAGTCTTAGCCAGGGCCTCAGTGTTCTAAATGGAACAACTTCTCACTACCCCCTTCCTGTAGGGAAATGGAGACCAGCAAACAGGCTTTTGTGTTGTGCAGGTGTTCCTGAATCTCATGCTTGGAAATGGGACTCAAAGGACTCTTGAGATGGAGACGGGCAGGGAGTCTTCCATGCAAAGCTAGTTGCCTCAGAGCAAACATTCTCAACTTGAGGCTGACTTACAGTTGCATGGGGTGTGGGCTTTGACCTTAAGGGACTTGTATCAATGCTGTTCTTGGTTTAAAAACCTTACCAGGAATGTTCGAAGAACACAAATCCTGCCCCTTGACAAAATGGATAGGGGAGACGCTAATCAAGGTCTGCTTCTGAGCCCCACTTGGCACCTAACCTTCTAGTAGTATAAAGGCACTAACAGATACTATGTGCTGCTAAAACTCTCCCCTCCCTGAATCTCAAAAGGTGTGGTATCTTGCAGCCAGAAGTGAAGACTGAGCTAGTACTAAGCTCAGGCTATCTGAGCTACATAGCTCAATTCTCCACCTTTTAACAAATCAGAGTATCACGTATCATAGTCCCCTAACAATCTTGTAAATGTGACTGTTTCTAACTAGATTGAGTTCCACAAGGGGTGGAGACTTCTGTTGACCACTCAATCCTACCTGGGCCAGCACAGAGCAGGTACCAGGCATTGTCTGAACTTGAACACAAGCCACTCTTCCCCAGTTGCCCCTTTCCTAAGAGGGAAATCTCCATACTTCTGAGCCTTAAGGTGGCATGAGATTTCTTGGCTACCTTTATTTTGAAATGCTACTTAAGGGGATGTTACCATCATGTAACAACTGATGCTCACAAAGTAAATATGCAGACCTCATCTCTGTTCCTAGGATAGGGTCTCACATCTGTAAGTGTTGGAGGCTACTACCAAAAGCTTCATTTGTGGCTTGGAGTACCACCTCTAGCCCCACAGGATTGTATACTGAATGAAAATAGCTCTCTAGATGGAAGTAGAGATGCTCACAGGAAACCCAGAGTAGCTCTAGTTATGCCTTACAAGAAGGGTGGATGAAAGTTAGCTTACGTCTAAGACTCCTAAATACTTATAGTCCCATATTATATCCAGGCAGAGTTCCCATATCATGATAGGACTCTGAACTGTCATATCTCAAGACCTTGACTCAGCCAAATATTCTACACCCATAGGAGGCTATTCTTCCAGCCTTCTTCATTAAAGCAAGCCTAGCTTTAGAGCAGAGGCTACATTGTTCAGTTATACTGATTTAACCCCATTTTTCTGGAACCTGTGTCATGCTATAAACTAAGTTTGCTTTGGGATCTCAAGCATAAGCCCTTCTAGGACCAAATCCCATAAGTAAGGGATACCGGGCAGGGTTTGGCCAGAAGCAACATGTCCTGTTCGTAGAACAGCCCTTGTGTACTCCAGCAGAGGCCAGAGTGCAGACCCCATGTAGCTGGGCTGCCCTAGCTTCTTGGGAGCAAGAACTAAGATTTTTATAGACTCCCTTCTACAATAGCTGCAGCCTCATCCAGATTTCTGAATCTGTATGCAGAAAACTAACCCAGACACATTCCTGCTGGATGTGTACCACGGGTGTCCAACCTGCTGACACTGGTTCCTAGTGCTGGCCGGAGGAGCAGTCAGAGCCCCGCCCAGCTGCAAAATCCTCTGTTGGAATCTGCATCCCTATACACACTGCACTTGACAGCAAATTCTTGTCTACAACATAAGACCTCATTATGAAGCCTGGTATAAAACAATGTTAGCTTAAATATTTTGTCTAAGTCCCCAAACAGAACTTACAACTTGTTTTCAGTGCCAGCAAGCCCAACTTTGGCTTAATGTGCTGCTTCTATGTCTTCAAGTGAACTGCCTGGTGCAGCTTGGGCTATGAAGTGGCAGCCAAACTGCTTTTAGGGCTCCGTGCCCTGAAGAGCTCACTTCTAGGGAGTTACTCTGAGGGTCTTCAGAGGAAGTCTCTGTGACAACCTGGGGCTGCGGCCTTATGGCTGGCATGGGCAGTTGACAATAGTTTTGGTGGCAAGTGGTTTGTTTGGCCTACTCACACTCAAAGCTGCAAGACTTGACCTATCTTCTGGTTGCTTTGGAGCAAGACTGCTGTCTCCCAACCACGTTTCCTTGCTCAACAGGAAATTGCAAGGAGTGGCTGCATTCAGGAAACTAGACTCCAATATTGTCAGGTTGTCAAAAGATGAGACGGGATCTTGCCTTACATCCTTAGTCTCTACCCCTCATTCAGCTTCCTTTCCTGCTCTAAGGGACATGCCTTTTAGGAAAACTGCCCAACAGTCCACAAGGGACCTTGTGACAAAGCTAGTCTTGAGTATGATGTCTTATTCCAGGTTCAGTTCAGCCTCGCTTATGTAAGGCAGTGGATGCAGGAGATGAGCACTCCTGAATCAGTTCTTTAGCTAACTTCTGTCTTGGGAACTTCCTGAATGGCCTATTTCAGTGGATCATATCCTTAAATGCCTCTTCCAGTGTAATTTCCATGATGTGCATGTATTCAGAACTACCTTGCTCCTATCAGTGCCTGGGACATGAGAGTGATCACTTCTGCTTTGGATTTCTACCTTGGGAAGGAACACTAGAATCCTGCCACAGAAAGACTGACATTGGGAAACACTTCACTCAGGTTTTCTCAGTGGGCTTCCCACTGAGATGTTAGGGCCCTTGGTGGGTCCAAGCTGTGGTCAGACTCCCATATTTCCATCGTGGCTTTGTGACTCCAGAGTCTCATTTCTCCACCTCTTGAAATGGTGAGACCTAAATGCAGTCATGAACATCCTGTAAGACTCACAAGGACAGCTACTCATAATCAGGCAGGTGATACTACTTAAGGTCCAGACAGACCTTGAGTCTGAAGTCACTGATGCCTCATCCACAGAACTTCTGACTGGAGTCATTCTGTGCCTATCTGATGTGCTTAAGATTTTTAGACTGCAGTAACTTTAAACATCCTTGGCTTATAGCGGCAGGTACCTCTTCGCATATACTTGAGTTATTACATTTGGGCACTATGGTGGTAGTTGGGGATACTGAGATCCTGCTTAGTCATAAGGAGCCTGAAAGGGAACTGAATATACAACAAAGTAGCATCTTCCACATGGCCAAGGTTCTATGGAAGTTTGAATCTGAAACACTTAAACACCTTCAGCTCTTCTAGATAACTCAATAGTTCCAATCTCACTACACTATATAACCCTTGGGTCCATACTACATCACCACTTTAAAGGTGAATCAAGACTAAGTCAAGAAAACCAAGCTATGCTCAGTTTCCGTTAGTTTGCGGCAATGCCGGCATGGAGACTCTCTTGGTTTGGGGAAGTTGTTTGGCTCTTAGCAGCATGAGCTCCAGTCATTATGGAAGTCAAATTTGTTTACCCATGAGCTTCCTGTTCCTCTCTACAATGTGCATCATGCTTGACTCTCCACTATTGTGGCTTCCTGGGAGCTGGCTGTGCAGCTGCTGAAAGAAATGAGTTAGGAGGTGGGCAGAGGACTACAGAAGCCTGCTAGTCTTCAGTAGGAATCTGACAAACGTGATTTTAACTTTAATTATGTCCATGGGCCACCCTCAAGGGCCCCAGGTACAGGGATTGTCTTGAAAGGGTCCTGGTGGGAATGAATTAAACAACTTGAAGGCCTGGCTCCTTGGCGTCTTCCAGGTTCTGGTGAGGTCTCTTCTGACCTTTAGTCTATATCAAGACACGCTTTTCTTTTCTTCCTGCTGGCTGTGTGGCTTGTCTTTAAATACACCTCCCACTTGACCAGCCCCTTCCTCCATTACCAGGTCCTCAGTCATCCAATAGGTGAGCTATTTGAGAGCCAGGTGGTCACTTCAGTCCAATCACCTGGGCCCTGGATATTGGTCATGTGATAAAACATGGCTGCCTAGTCAAGAGCTGGGGGTCTGGGCAGTTTCAGTTTCCAGGGCCTGTGCATAGGCAGGATGATCAGTATCTGTAAAAGGAAGGTGTATAGCTTGGAAAGCTAAGCTATGGTCTCATTTAAGGAATAAGAAGCTTGGAATCAAGGCTCTACTCTTATAGCTGAAGTTGTTCGGTTAAGCCATTGCTGGGCTTATGTGAATCCATATATCAGGCCCCTCTGACTAAGTGTTCCAGCTCCGGGTTCACCATGAAGACCTAACAGATACTTTGGGCACAAAGTCTTAAGTTACTGAGTATATTCCAGGTCGGTGGTTGTGGGGAAGGTAGGAACAAATTCTCATGTGCCTGTGTACATGGTCATACAACAAGATCAATGAATCTGCCTCTTCTGAGCTTGGCTCTTCTATAACCCCAAACATGGTGTGTAGGTTGAATGTTCTATTTGAGCTCTAGAAGAATATCCTGTTGTAGAATGAAGTGTTCTTAATGGGGTTTAGTGTGCGTGGGTTTGGGGGTGAGGGTGGAAGGGAGGGGTCCATGGTCTTGCTTCAGAGTGGAACTGCATGGGGAACTTGAGGGCTGGCAGCTCTGGTGTAGCTTGCAGCTGTTTCAGTGCGGTGGTACTGCTCTGTGATCACCAGCTGCTCCAGGGATTATAGATGCCAATGGCAATATCGGCTGCTTGCATGGCTAGCGCCAAGGCTAACTGGCGGGTCTGATACCACTGCCAACGATGCAGTATAAAACTTCCTAGCAGGAAGAACCTGTTGCATGACTCAGATACATACATGATACTCTGGTTTGAAGACTCCAACCTTCCAAATATCCTGAGTCTTTCAATGTTGCTTGTCAGGGTTTCAAAGGCCTCATGTACTGCATCAAATCTGTTTAAGGTCTTAGAGATCTGCTTCAGCTAGTTCACTGCCAACATCAACCTGTTTTCTCCTTCCTCTTCGTGCATCTTATCTTAAGGGTCATCTCTTGAGGTAGCTTTAGAAATTGAGCCGCCTTCTTGTATGATGGACAGGGATGGAACCAGAATCTCAAGCAACAACGTGGCATTTTCTGGTCTTGTCTCTTGGGAAATGGTGATATCTTTCTTCCAACATCCTCCTGGTCTGACATTGCCAGCATCAGGCAAACAATTTGCTGATTGAATTGCCAAATCCCTTCATAGACCACTGTTCCTAAAACAGTGGTCTAACGTTCATTAGTCTGACTTGTTACTGATCTAGCTATCACTTGTTGCCTGCTAGCTCTGTCCACTACTAATTGGGGTTGGCGGGGGTGGGGGCGACCACAGTCTCCAACTATGGATGACTTTTGTCTATTTCTCAAAATGCTGTCTTCATCCCAGGTTTTGCTTATTAGGTACATAACATCAGGATGTTCTCTACCTAGAGAACTGTCCCCTCTATCAGGAATGATAACAGACATTATGAAAATCTGTCCTATAGTTGGCTTTGCCTGACACGAATCAAAAGCAAGCTGGAGTAGCTATACTAGTATCAACATGCTATTGCTCTCTATATTCATAACTTTAAAGCAGGTTTCTCATAAACGTGGTCTGACTTTCATAGACCTACTTAATGCTGATCTAACACTCTCTCTCTCTCTCTATATATATATACACACATACATATATATTTTACTTGATAGGACTCAATTATACCTAACACTATATCACTTGATATAGCTAGATCAAATTGACCAAAACTTAATGGAATACAGCTCAGTCACTTCAATGTTATGGTCCTTAAATTCACCCCCTGCCAAATTAAGGAGAGTTGGCATTTTTGGGGGGGATAGCCTCTAAACCCTGAAATACTACTACCTGTGTGTTCTGCAAACCAGTGCTCTTATGATCATGAGATCTGCGGGACTGTGATTTCTGACTTTGAGTGTTAGGTGTAATTGAGTCCTAGCTGCTGCTAAATGTTCTTCCAGAAAGGACAAACTATGTTCCACTGCAAATGTATATAGCTGCCTCTCCTGAACAAGGAATAGCCTTGTACGTATAATGAAGTCCTTATATCTGGACTACATCTTTTGTAACTCTTTGCCAGTGGTTGTCCAGTGTAGTATCCAGGAGCAGGTATTTCAAAGGTTCCTCTTTACACATCCCTGAAGTGTGAAGGTAGCCTTCCTTTAGCCAGGGCCTTGGTGTTCTACATGGAACTACTACTTCTCTACCCTCTCTTCCTGCGGGAATACGGAGGCCAGCAAATAGGAACAGATCAGGTTTGTGTCTGTGTTCATATCTCCATCCCCCTTGGAGATGGGCATCAAAGGACTCCTCTGAGCTGGATGGAGCTTCGTAGGCTGCTGTCCATGCAAAGCTGCAGGCCTCATGTAAAACCACATCCACGTTTGGGATAAGGTTTGACTTCTATCGGGTGGCTTTTGTGGGCTCTAACCTGAGGGTGATCTGAGTTGCAGTATGACCCTTAGAACAAGCTATTTCATGGGAGTGATGGAGAACAAATGAGCACTGCCACCCAATGAAAGGGAAGCTGAGAAGCAATGAGGGGTGGTGATAAAGATCCACTTTCAATACTGTGAACCCTACTTGGCACTCTAGCTTTCTAAGTAGTGCAAAGGCACTAACACTATTTCCCCTGAATCTCAAAACAGTCTAGCTAGAAGTAAAGACTGAGTTAGCACTAGGTTCATGCTAAAGTGACTTTTACCTCCCTTCTCTGAAGGCTGGAGCAAGAGTATCACTGCCAGTAACAATCTTACGTATACAAACTGCCTGACTAGACTGAGTTCTGCAATGAGTGGGCACTTTGGCTAGTTCACCAAGTGGGCTCTCTAGCACAGCAGTATTAGACTATATGAACTAAACAAAAGGAACTTTTCTTCCCAAGTCCTTTCCAACCAATAGGATGTCTCCTGAGCTTTAAACTGGCAGATCTCAGCTGCCATATTTGGAAAGTGTTAACTTGGAATCCTTTCCTGAAGTTGTAACTGATTATAAACGTGAGGCCCTAAACCAGGAATAGGTTGCCTGAGTTAGGTTCACTGCTTCTATAAGCAAGTGCCAGAGGTGGTTGTGAGCATCTTGTGGCTCAATATAACTTCAACCACAACATTGTATGCTGAAAATAGCCATCTAGGTGAACAGATGTCTGCTAGAAAAAAAAAAAATAGAATGGTTCTAGTTACAAAAATTACCTTTTGGAGAAGGGTGGGCTAAAGACCAAGCAAAGACTTCCTGAACAAAGACTTCAGATGTAGCCCAATGTTACAGGGAGGCACAGACCTTCTTCCATATACCTTTTAAGTCTAGATAAGACACTCCTCCTATTGGAGGAAAAAAGGTTCCATCATGCCTGAGTGTCAGATCTCAAATTACATCACACTAAGCCAACCATACTATACCTGCTAGTCACTCTTCCAGAATCTTCATTAAAGCAACCCTAGCTTTAAAGGTAGGGGATTCATTGTTCAGTTACATCATCTGATACTCAATTTCTGGGAGCTGTGGTATGCCATAAACACTAAGCTGTGTTAAGCCCTCCTAAGAACCAAATATGAGACAGGTTAAGGAATGCCAGGTAGGGCGTGGCTTGGAAGGAACATGTCTTATTCAGTAGCACAGCCCTAGTCCGTTCTAGCTCTCTGAGGCCACAATAAAGACTGTGTAGCCAGAATACTCTAGCTTCTATTAGAGGGGAATACAATCCAGATTCTTAGACTCCTTTTTATCATTGGCATCCTTATTCAGGTCTCTGAAAGTCCTTATGCAGGCCAACCCAGACACTACTCCTGCAGGCTGGGTGTGTGCCACGGGTGCACAACCTGATTGTTTGGCTCCTAGTGCTGGCCGGAGGATGAGACTGAGCCCTGTCCAGCCTGTGCTGTGAGAAACACACACATCCTTGTACACACACCATACTTCACCCTGACATAAGACCTCTAAGAAATACTAAACGCTTAAAGTAGGCATGAAACACTAGGCATGAAACACCAGGTTTCAACGTTCTGTTTATACTCCGGCCAGAATCTGTAACTTCTGTCTCCAGTGGTGGCAAGTTTCTCAGTGTGCTACTTCCCTTGTATTTAAGAAAAATTGCCCAGCAAGGCTAGAGCTGACAGCTGGGACTCTCCTGAGAGCCCACTTCTAGGAGCTACTCTAAGGACCTTCAAAGGTAACCTATCTACCTGGGACTGTAGCCTTGTAACCAATATGAGCAGAAGGCAATGGATTTGGTAGGTGGATTTCCTGGCCTATACCTCCTGCTGTACAAAGACGTATCTAAAGTTATGGAACAGAATTTATGTAGGCTCACTTTGGAGCAACACCAGGTTCTCCCTGGCTCTTGCTCCCTAAGAAAGTGTAAGGAGTGGCTGTACCCAGATTAGATTATAATCCTGTTATCAAAGGATGGGTAAGGATGTCGTGCCCTTAGTTCTCTCTACTTAACTTGCTTTTTTGCTCTGAGAAGATGCCCTGTGTACCGACTGACAGTTTTCACAAGAGACGTTTGGTACAAAGCTGGACCTATGGGTGAAACTGTCCACTTCACCAGGAATTGGACAGTAGGCTGTCCCTTCATGAGCACTGACGGCTGTAAGAAACAAAAGCTTATATCAACTCTCGGGATACTTATCCCACTGAGCTTTTGGGCCTTCAGTAGGAATCTGACAAACATGGTTTTAAATTTATTTGGAGAGCAATCGTTCCCTTATGTAACATCCCCCATTCTCTGCTCTGCGGTCACCTTTGCCTGACACTAACACAGCTACTCCAGCTCTCTCCTGATCAGTGTCAGGAGTCCTCCCATTCCTGGACTTATCTGTGACTTTAAAGTGGGTTCCTTGTAGACGACATACCTGGGTGGATTTTCTAATGTCTGGGTGGGCAGGGGTGCAAATCTTAAGTGGATGAACTTAAGCTCAGTCACTCCAATGGTGTGTCATGGTCTAAAGTAACATGCCCATTCCCTGACCTAAACTTTCTTGGGGGTTTTAGTCCCTAACCATTGAATAAACCTCACTACACAAATCCTTGAACGGATATCTATATGGGGTAGACTTTCAGGAGTGGGGTGCTGATTTTAAGAGTGCCAGGTATAGTTCTTACTAGCTGTTAAATTGCTTTCCAAAAAACATACCTTCACACCAATGGTTCCCCTCTCATTAACTCTAAGAGGCAGAATGTTACCAGGGAGAATCGCCCAGGGAATTGGAATCTTGACAAGATATGAAGCACTCAAACCTCAATGTTGTCTTGTTGGCAGGCATTTTAAACTTAATTGTCCTTACACAATCCCTTCTGCCTACCGATGCGTCATGAACTATTAAATTCCTAAATCAAACACAAATGTCAAGTCTACTTCCAACCATTGTTCCTTGCAGAATGTCTAGATAAGCACTGTTTTCTAATAGAAGGCAGAAAAACCTAAATGTAACATTTATACGGTCCTACCTTTATATTTCTCTAGCCATCATCTGAACTATGAATTGAACTGAACTCATAGTTCAAATGATGGCTGAATTCTTATTCTTTGATCTTCCAGCTCCAGGGGTTTAACATCCTAAGATCATGCCCAGAAAATGGTTAAGCCTTGTTCCCTAGCCCTTCTGTCTTCCCTTCAATAGACATGTATTTAGAAACTGCAACCTTCTAACAGGGAGGTTATTTGAATAGGATATAACTGGGGTGTTAAACAAAATTGCTTGTGGCTTTGGAATGTGGGGTAGGCTTCTACACAACGGCTTTATCTCTATCCCCACTTGCCACTAATAGGTCATTAACTTATCTGGGCTATGAATATGTTCCTGTTGCATGTGTACCAAAACCATAAACCCACAGCCACCCTGGCAGATCACACATGCGATGCTATAGAGGTCTGTCTTGGAGCCAAGTGCTTTATATAATGCCACAGTGGTGGCCCCAACCTGCTTGCTTTTCAACAGCTCCATGTGACACCTTTGCCTGTCTCTCAGTGACAAGCCAGGACCTTCTTCAGGCATTTTCCCAGCCAGCTAATCAAATGGCATCAGTGGGAATGTTTACAGCTTGCTGCCACTTAAGGAGTGTTATCAGAGCCCTTCCAATATCAGCCCCCAACCCGAGGCTGATAACAGAACAGGAGGGGGATGGAGGATGGACAGCCTTGGGAGAACTGGTGAAGACCAGAAAACAAGATGTCAATCTAATCTGAGAGACCTCCCATAGGGCCCCTACCATGGGGTAGCAGCTTGGTCTGAAATTCCTTTGAGGATGACACATCTGTGTGCCTCTAGTGTCACACAGATGCTTGGTATCCAGTGCTATTGGTCCATTCAACACTAAAGCACCTACCATGTACGGGACTGTCATTTCTATGGTGATGAGATGCTGTTTTCCACCTGGTCAAAAATGTGGACAAAGACTGAAACCCAGTTGATCTCTGCCTTTGTGTGACCTTGACTTCTTAGGCCATTGTATTAGTCTGTTTTCATACTGATAATTACCCAGTTTCAGGTGTGTCTTTTATAAAGAGGTTTAATGGACTCAGTTCCACATGGCTGGGAAGGCAGCACAATCATGGTGGAAGGCAAAAGGCACTTCTTATATGGTGGCAGCAAGAGAATTGAGAGGCAAGCAAAAGGGGCTTCCCCTTTTAAAACCATTGGATCTCAAGTCTTATTCACTACCACCAAAACAATATGGGGGAAAACTGCCCCTGTGATTCAATTATCTCCCACCAGGTCCCTCCCACAATATGTAGGAATTATGGGAGCCTACAATTCAAGATGAGATTGGGATGGGGACACAACCAAACCATATCAGCCATTTTTTTTTTTTTACCAAATTTTCTTTCATTTTTAGAAGTAGACAGTGAAGATTCAAACTTCTATTTCTTCTTTCAAGTAAATTTAGATTTCCAGGTATCCTGACTGTATATAGCTGTATTTTCTTTAAGTTCTGGGGTATACGTGCAGAATATGCAGGTTTGTTACATAAGTATACATGTACCATAGTTTGCACCCATCAACCCTTCATCTACGTTAGGTATTTCTCCTAATGCTACCCTCCCCCAACCCCCCATCCCCCAATAGGCCCCGGTATGTGATGTTCCCCTCTGTGTCCATGTGTTCTCATTGTTTAACCCCCACTTATGAGTGAGAACATACAGATATGAAAAATGCCCATCACTGGTCATCAGAGAAATGCAAATCAAAACCACAATGAGATGCCATCTCACGCCAGTTAGAATGGTGACCATTAAAAAGTCAGGAAACAAGAGATGCTGGAGAGGATGTGGAGAAATAAGAATGCTTTTACTCTGTTGGTGGGAGTGTAAATTAGTTCAACCATTGTGGAAGACAGTGTGGTGATTCCTCAAGGATCTAGAACTAGAAATACCATTTGATCCAGCAATCCCATTATTGGGTATATACCCAAAGAATTATAAGTCATTCTATGAAGACACATACACACATTTGTTATGGCACTGTTCACAATAGCAAAGACTTGGAACCAACCCAAATGCCCATCAATGATAGACTGGATAAAGAAAATGTGGCACATATACACCATGGAATACTATGCAGCCATGAAAAAGGATGAGCTCATGTTCTTTGCAGGGACATGGATGAAGCTGGAAACCATTCTCAGCAAACTAACACAAGAATAGAAAACCATATCAGCCATTCTTATACTCTAAAGTGGGGATGTCTTCTGAGCATCAGTTGTACTTAGAATGCAATGAGGTATGAAAAGTTGAAGATCAGCTTTGAACCTATCACAATTCTGATATGAACTTGGCATCTGAGCTCTACCAGATGCCTTTGGGGAGAATGGGATAAAGGTATTAAGGCAAGAAACCTAAAGGCAGAGGTACCTTGAAAGGGCTCCAGTGAGTCTCCTACTCCTACTTCCTGGACGTTCAAACTGCTTTTGCTGGAAAACATACCATCTATATCATAATTACTCGGTAACCCTATCAGCCTAATACTGATACTCAATATTAAGGGACCCTTGTGCTAAAGCAGGCAACATGCGACTGTCTGACTGGGTTAATCACAACTTAATACCAGGCAGAGTTGCTGGCCTTGTATTTGGACTTTCAATGCAACCGTGGGCACCCCAGTAACCAAAGGTAGACTTGGCACCTAAGCAAACTT
The DNA here is from genome assembly GCF_000001405.40 of Homo sapiens. Taxonomy (NCBI): domain Eukaryota; kingdom Metazoa; phylum Chordata; class Mammalia; order Primates; family Hominidae; genus Homo; species Homo sapiens. The sequence continues at coordinate 114,150,229 of NC_000012.12, read as the reverse complement.
GAATATGGTTGCATTCGGCACCTTAGAGTTGTACAATATGTCTATATTCAGACATCTAGGGTCTATGCATGACCCCTGTCCACAGTCAGTGACCACAGGTCGGAACACAGAATGGTGAAACACAGCACCTTAGACAGCTGTAAGTCAGCAGTCCTCACCCCAGGCACTTAGGTACTCTTTTTGAAGTGAGGTCTCACCCTCTACGGCTGGAGGACTTTCAAATAACTATGCCATCAACTAATCTGCCTTAACTGAGGTAGAATTCTTCTTCTACAAGCAGTTTATAAGGTCATCTAGTGGGGAAGAGATTCAAACTTTTTCTAAAACTGCTCCTCCTACGTGCAACCTACCTCCAACTCCCACAAGCAGCATCTATGCAGTCAAAACACAGTGAGCTGTTGGTAACTGCACGGATTGTAGAAAGTTTGTTCAGACTACAGCATGAATTTGGCTGGTGGGCTCTTGTAGCAGGGAGATGGTGAGAGTTCCCGTGGTTTTGCACACTCAGTTTAATGTTGATCTACCTCCCACTGTCTTGAACTCCAGCATCTGGCCAAACATCTAGAGAACAGACTTCAGTGGAGTAGGGGTCTGAGCGTGGGGAGGGGAAGCAAGATTTCAAGGGCTGAGGGTGAAACTGCTGTCACGTGCTCAGCCATCCTGCCTCACACACCTTCCCAGGAACCGAGGCTGCAGGTTCCATTGGGTGGGTTCGTCTACTTTTGTGTCCTTCCTGCAGAAATAGTTCTGGCTTTCTGAGCTCCTTTCAGGCATGCATGCCACCTCATCTGGAAATTCCTGATTCTGTTAACTTCGGTTTGTCCTTACAAATTAATAACTCTTAATTTCTTTGAGCAAAACTTGGAGAAATGTGATCTGTCATGTTTACCTAGAATTTCCAATAGCATTACATTTAGGATTTAAGTTTTGGAAACCCTCTACCATGTGCCCACAAACAATAGTACTCAATATAAATACAACTAAAGGATATAAACCTGAAGTAATGCTCTAACTCAAAGATAACATCCTTAAACCATCCAGTAAAGTGTCCTTCCACAACTTTGGTCCTCCTTGTCTGCTTACCCCTATCACTTCATCAACAGACTTAGGTGGATGAGTTTGAGGCTGTGGAGGTATAACAGCCCCCCAGATCATAAAGTTAAACAGGGTGAATCAGTTATCACCCTATTCCTGGCTTATCTTGAATTCTAACTGAAGTCACTCAAGACAAACACCAGAGTGGGTTTTGCCAGCTTACATCTCATGGCTCAAAGGCATTTGTCAGTTTCAACTGAGTTTACCCAAGTGTACCACAGCAAGCTTTCTACCAAGGAACTGCTGTAAACATTATGCTTCTGAAATGCCAGTGCCACCTGCTTGGAATTTCTACGTGGTCACAGAGGAAACAGACTTATGTCCAGTGGAGATTTGCTTACGAGCTGGAGAGTTACTCATCTGTACATGCCTCACTGGCACTCATTGAGGATAAGTCAGTGAATGCATTCTAGGTGACATGTTTTGAAAATAGCTTGACTTCCTAGTCCATGGCAAGTGTTAGAGTTAAGAGTGAATCTAAAACATGCAGTGAGATTCATAGTTACATGTTGTAATAAATCTTAAGTATGCTACTTCAGATGTAACTTAGTAAGGCTGGCTTGTCACTTAAATTTTACTAAGTGCTTATACTTTAAAGAAGCTTCTTGCTACTGACCTTAAGCGCTGATTGTGAAACGCTATTTCAGTGAAACCTAAGTATGTAGGTAGGTGTCTGTAGACTCACCTTAGCAAGCCTAAGCTAGTGTAAATAACACTCCTAACATCCCAGAGAATTGGTCAACCTATTTGGTGACTTCTGATGTGCTCAGTATCTCCCATGGCAGTTCCCCTCACAAAATCTGCCTGTGACTTGTGTTGGACGGTCCTCGTTTTGACTGAAAACTATCTTCTAGAAAACCCAACCAGCACTGGAAGCAAACAGATGCTGAGATGGAGTTAGGAGTGCAAAAGGCTTGTTGGAATTATACCTGTGCTAGGTAGGCATCACAGCCCAGTGATTCTCCCCATTCAATTCTACTTCCTCACTTTTCCCTTCAAGTCTGACAGCTCTGTGGGGGCTCTGGAATAGAGACTGCACAGAGCATTGCATAGTGCTGGCTCTCCTACTCCCATGTATCTATCTGCTGCACCTCCCTTTTTGCCTGGACAAATTACTACGTTCCAGTCCATAAAGTGTCTGCTCCAATCCCACTGTCTCTCAAAATACCCACGACTGAACATCCACTCCTCAGATGTGGCCTCCAACTGGGGTTGCTAGACTTAGCAAATTAGATGTTTTCTACTAGAATATCCCAAATACCTCATGGGATGTTATGTTGTATCTGACAACACAGTTAGTATGAAGTGAATGCTACTTCAGTTCTAACCATTATGGCAATGTTTATTATGAGATAGCCCTTGTGAATTAGATTTTTTTTCTGGCAATAACACTAGAATTCTGAAAGGTTAGGCTGTAAGTCTCTTCACCTAAATGATTTGAGACAAGCCTCATTTTCTTGGCAGATCTAAGTTTTGACTTAGCCTTGTTTCTAAGACTTATGGATAAGACTGGAAGAAGCCCCTGACTGCCCTTGGGAATAATCCTAGCTCTAAGGATGTTGTTATTGACCAGACCTGCCACTACTCAAATCACTGGCCAAATATTGAACAGAGTGAGTCAGTTCTATTGTGCTCCAATAAGAACATGACTCCATTAACCTATGTTGTCCAACTATACAACCCTCCAATCAACAAATACTCCCTGTATAACGTTTCCAGGAGCTAACAGGGTTGCCTAAGGTGTTCTGCATCAGGGTTTATTCTAGAATCTTCAGGACACTATAAAGCATCTTGATAACTTGCCTTGAGACGTCTTTCCCTTTCACACCACCTGATGTGAAGAGCCCTTTTTAGTGTATCCTTTCTGTAATACCTCTCCCCAAAATGTGTAACCTCAATCATGAGGACACCTGCCAAGCCTGAAGGAACACTTAGCAAAACTGACCAGAACCCTTTAAAAGGGTCAGTCAGGCTGAGCTGTGATGACTAAATGCAACATAGTATTCTAGACTGGATTCTGGAACCAAAACATTAGTGAAAACTAAAGTCTGAAATTCCATAGCTTAGTTGACATTTTATCAAGGCTAACTTCTTAATTCTGATAGCTGTATATGGATATATTAGATGCCAAGGGGAAGTTGGGTAAAGGAATATAAAGGAAATATTCTTTTGACTTAGTGTTAGCTATCTAGAAGTTTAATATGTGTCAAGGACTCAAGCTTCCTTAAGTTGGTTTTGTGCTCAGGTGAGTGCCCTTCCTGGAAGGCGATCCTGCTATAATCTCCAACACAACAGGATTTTTACAGCAAGATGCCTATCCTGGTCAGTCCATTCTGGTTCAGGTTAAAGCCAGCAAATGCTCATAAGGGAAAAGCACCTTAGTAGCCTGGACATCTCGGTGACAATGCAGACCTCCCTGGATCTAAGGAACAGGTGAGTGTGGAGGGTTGAATATAACTGACCATTCCCTTCCTTCACTACACCTGCCCATGAAGGGCTGCTAGCCATGTGCAGAACCCAGTGAGTGAATCTCAGTTGGAGACCTGTGGAAGACTTCAAGGCCGTGTTATAACTAAGATCACAGAAGTGACACCTAGGAGGCACCTAGAGAGACACTGGTCAGCCAGGTCCTGGTTCTTCCAAAGGCTGAGACACTGAGGACTACTGCCACTGGTTTGAGCCTTGTGTATGTTCTTAGGGGTAGATGAGTCTCAACTGCAGCAGCAAGTGACTTCTGCACTGTTTGGGGGTGTGTGGGGCAAGTCTTTCTGCCTTAAGGACAGAAGCTAAACTGATTCCAAAGACAGACTCGGAAGCCAAAGCAGGAAGAGGGATCCAGAGGGTGCGTGAACCCAGAACAGGATGACTTGGAGGGAATGACGCAGACCACATGTGGGCTGGGGGGTGATGGTCAAGTCACAACCATGCTAATGTGATGCCCGTGTATGTTCTCATTATCCTAGTTGGCTATGTACAACACAAATGTTCTTAACGGTAGCTACAAGGCTCAACAGTTAAGTGTAGTGTTCTTTTAGGTGTTAAGAACTTGAGAGGAAAATGGGTTCTTGTCTCAAGTATAAGGACCATGAAAGATGACTGACAGAACTGAAATGAGCTCAGGGGTGGGACAGGGCACTGTGAGGGAGCCATCTCAGACATGAAGCATCATGATTGTAGACCATGAGTCAGCTTGTTGAGAACAAGTGAGATATACTCATGCTTAGAACATCCATGCTTTCCTGGATTAGGAAAAGCTTTGAGGATATGTATAACCTTTTTTATGCAGCCTAAACTAGGATGCCTCAAAGCAACTTCACATCCTGAATCCTACAGCTGGGGGGAAAAAAAAAAGATCCAGGGACTGGACCAGTTCAGATAAACCCCTTCCTGAAGTCTTCCTTCCAAGGACATAACTCCTTTTCTTCTTGCTCTACCGTCCCTTGGTCTTCATCCTACTGTTCTTAAAGCTCTAAAGCTCTACCTTCTTTCAAAATGTCGTTCTTGAGAGCAGGCTTGTTCTCAACTCACAGGTTCCTCTGCAGATGTTCACCTACTTCTAGGATCTTGGGCCTCCTTGGTAGATGGAGCTTTGTGGAATATCAATCTCCCTGAAATGATCTTGGGTTCAGTCTTTCCCAGTGCAAGAAGTCCACATTAGCACGTTTGTTTTCAAAATGGGGACAAGGTCCCTGGAGCTAAGATCAGTAGCTGCCATGGTCTGAAGCTAGTTTCAGAAAAATGTCAGTTGGTGCTTAGCTCGTTGGATTTGGTATACTAAAGCCTTTGACTAATGGACCACCTTGTATTTTGCTAAAACAGCACCTGTTTTGGGTACCTAGCTTTCTTAGGACCCATCTGGGAGAAGGTAAGGCAGATGACAGTACTTATCTCAGTCCCTGATCTGATGTGATGAATGGCATACTGACTTCACTTTAAACTCAGGGGTAGGAAAGAAAGGGAGGTCTACATGCCTGGAACCCCTCACAGTTGTGTAACTGTTAAGGGCCTCAACTGTCACCCTGCAGGGATTTTCCTAGTATACTTGTTAATGTGTTGGTTTGAGAGCTTTTGTCTCCTTGTGATGGTCATGCATTTGATTAACTCACATTCCTATACTCCATGGGTCATAGATACCTGTTCTCTTGACCCATTTGTATTAGAAACACATCTGTCTCAGCCAAATCCCAAACCATAACTAAGTCCTATGAAGGATAAAAATGTAGTACCAAGGGCTTGATGAGCAGATTTGATCTTGAAAATCCAGAGATCTCTGGGGATGCCCACCCTTCTAGAGACAGAAGGATAATGGGTAAAGCTTCCCCAGCTAGGTGTAAAGAGCATTCTAGACTAAGGACTGGGACAGAGACTCACATGGCTAAAGTGTGGAAGCTGGGTGGTCCAACAGGACAAGGCCAGGAAGAGATGAGGGGTGGTGGTGGTAGATCACAGGCAGCTGACAACACCTGGGGGTGAGTTACCAGAACTGGTTCAAAGATCTCAAACTAGCAGTTCAAGTAGGAGGCTTAATGGGAAACTTGAGAAGCCAGAATTTTAAGGCTGGGAACCTAGACACTGACCACTCCACCCCAAGCTCCAACTCAATCTGTCTCTAAGAGTTTGCTCCAGCTCTAATTCCCCTTGGGAATGGCTAGGAACTCCAATGACAGGTGAAGAAAGTCTCTTCATGGGATCTCAGCTCTTGGTCAATCAGACTAGTGGTCTGAACACAAATCCTAGGTTCTACTGTGAGCTTTAGAGCAGAACAGGAGTTGGAAAAAGCTGACTGGGTTACTTGACTCCCATTTTCCAGAGTCCAGTGAAAAACCTTCAGTGTCCCTTGGGCTGCTTGTTCTAAAACAATTCCAATGGTGTAGCTTCTCTCCCATAGGACTACTGCTTAGTCTAACACCTGTCAGATGTCTCCAGCTTAAGCTTTCTCATGGTAAGCTGTTCAGTTGAGTAGACCTGTTGTTTCCCAACCTTTCTCCACTTGTGCTGTCAGCTGGGAACTTGGACAAAATTGGGGGTCTTCTTGTTCTGCTCTTGGTACGACTACACTGTTCTGGCTTCTAAAGTGATCTCCTGAGATTCATGATAACCTTAGGCTGGGGTCAAGTATATGCTACTGATCTTACAGATGGGAAGCTGCTCAGAAGTGAAACAATTCATCCAGAGCTGTGTCAGAATTGGACCTCAGATCTCTGAATTTCCAGTTGGGTTTGTCATCTGCATATGTCCCTAAACTTGGCAGTGTCAATTTCAGCCTGCAGAGTTTTCTAATGACAAACTGCTCTAGAACACTCTCTAAGCCTTGAGGCTTCCAAACACATATTATGTCTTAAAGCCAGCCTCAGACACGTTCTTTTTGCCTTAGAGCTCTGGGAGAAGACATCGAGCTGATACTCTTGGCCAAACCTTCGGGAGTCTAGAAATGGAGAAGTATAGGTAACTACACTACCTTGCGTTGACCTCAAGTGCTTGCCACTCTCAGAATGGGGAATCTAAAATGTTTGGAGTAGAACTAAAAGCCAGGGTAAGCATATTGCACACAAACCCATAGAGTCATTCAGTAAGGGATACAAACTTGGCTCTAAGCTTCCTTTTGGCCTGAAACATGGTTCATGGTGACTAATTCGTCTAAATTCAAGCCTGCTCAGATGCAACAAGATCATCTTGATGCCAAGAGCTGAAATCCATAGGATATACTAATGTTAACTAGTATTATGTGCCAGGCCTCAAGACAGTGTTTTGGTGTCTTAATCCATGAGGCATAAGATTCTGTCCTTTCAGGGTAAAGAGAACCAGCTCAAGCTTTTCTTCCTGTGAGCTTTGCAGCAAGGAAGTGGTAGAATTTACGCTCAATTCTAGGTCTAGACTCTAACCCAGGCTCTTATTCAGTGCTGCCTCTTGGGTGTTGAGTTGGTCTTATAAAGTGATGGTAAACAGTTCTGCGAGTACAAGCCAGGGCCAAGAATTTCTGGGACGATTGTCCTCCCAGGAACAAACAATCTAAGTACATATCTCACAAGTCTAAATTAGCGAAGTTCAACTTCTAAGAAAGTAGGTGAAACCTTACCCTTCAGGCAGTCCTTAGTCACCTGTGCACAGGCCCTTGATAAGGCAGAACCTGAGGCTGTGATCTCAGGTCTGAGCCGTGAGTTTTGTGGCCAGTACCTTTAAAGAGCAGCGTTAGGCATGTGTTTCCTCTTTCAAAATAATCCTTCCTATTTAACCTGTAAACTCCATACAATTCAGCAATCATAACATGGAAGGTTAGTCTGTCATTCAGTTGACCATTGTTAATCTGAGGTTGTGTAATGGTTGTCTATTCAGTGTGCCTATTGCCATACAGTGAAATAGGATTCTATTAAATAACTTACACCCAGATCATTTAACTCCTGATGCACTTAAGACTCAGAATATTCACTAGTTGTAATGTAGCCTCACCTTGATTCACCAACTGTCTACATCTTGCCCCATCTTTCTGAGCAATGCCCTGCCCACTTAGAGATTAATACACCCCTCCCAGAGCTGTCAGGAGTAAAGTATGGAAGAAGCCAGAATTGCTGCCTGTACAAGTAGTACCTATCCTGGCCAAAGTACATGAACCCTCTCCCTAGGACCTCTGGGACTCAGTAAGCTTGTCTGTTGATAAGCAACAGGTCTCCATCTTCAGGAGCTTAATTGGCTGAGGGCTAGAGCTGGACCAATCCCAGGCAGCCTTACTGATGGAGAACAGAAGCAGCTGGCTCCAGGCTTGGGAGGGAGGGGAGTGCTTGTGCAGCAAGGAAGCACGGGTGGGGGCAGGGTGCTTACAGCTGTGTACCATTACCTACAGAGGTTCTGAGTAAGAAAAATTCTAACACTGGCCACTTGTCCATTTAGTTTTATTGCTTTAATCCCTCCATTCTGGCCGAGGCCAGGCCGTGATAATATATTTAAGTAATAAGGCATGACAGCCAGGGCCTGCCACAGTGATTAGAACACACCTAGCAGGATGTGATCAGGTCCAAAGGTGAGGATTGTAATCCCTTGGAAATGCCTGCAGCGGTGAAACTGCAAATGAACACAATGCTCAGACCCAGCATGGAGCTGATAGCCAGTTGGAAGCCCCCATTTGGCTTACATGTGCTTCCAAGAAGCATGAGAATGAAGGACTCTCCTGGGGCCAGGGAGACAACTGGGTGACAGTAAACTCTGGGCAGTATTAGACACTCAGCAATTATGTACTAGGATTTAGGCAGTTCAGCCTGTGAATATTTCCTAGCATCTGCTAGAAAAGCTAATTCCTTAAACTTGCTATAAGACAACATACACAAGTGATAAAGCATCAGGCTACACAACTTTTCTCAGCTTAGACTAGGATCATTAGAAGCATATTTCACACATAGGATCATATCATAAATTCCTGCCACATCTTAGTTTATCTGCTTAAGTATTCTGTGGCAATCATTCCACACTGGTTCCTGTAGATCTAGCTTGATTTCTTAGCTGAATCTTGTTTGGACACCCCCCACCCTGCTCCACCTTAAATGGGTTAAATGGTCACCCAGGCTGTGACTTTTAATAGACAAAATATATTCTTTGCATATCTTCCTGGAACACTGGAAGGGGCTGGGAGGCTAAGTTTGAACTAGAAAGACTTGGTATAGATGGTCCAAGTTTCAGGGTTAAACTAGTTAACAGATCCAAAGTTACATCTATGGCCTTGAAAAAGCTAGGTAGAGGTAGGAGGCTGAGGTAGACACTTTCTTCTTGCACTAATAACAGTGAAGGTAGATGTATACTGAAGGCCACTAAAGAGTCCTAAGACTTAAAGTACATGCCTCACAGGCAGGTCCACTTATCCACACACCTGGGAATCCAGAAGTGGAGAAGCACCTCCTGTAGGAGACTCCTTCAGATCATCACTCTGCAAAACAAGTTGACTCTCTAGCTTCTCAATGCCCAGAAGACTGAGCACTCCCATCAGTTACAGAAAGTTCAACCTGGACTCGTGATTTGGAGCCAAGTCAGAATTGCTTTGCTTAGAGCAATTGAAATTAGGTTCCAGACTCTGAATTTGGGTTTGACTATTGCTATGTGGCATTAGGCAAAGGCTTAACCTCTGAGCCTTAGTCTTCAAACTGGATGCTGTACTCCTGCATTAATCTAGGTCCTGAGAAGCTAAAGCAGGATTAGACATGCAAGAGAATTGTAAAGGAAAATAGATAAGGGAGCTGGAGGACACAGAGATTTAGATCTTGATGCAAGCTTGGCCTCTGTGAAGAGGCTAAATAGAAGCATACTAAATGAGGCAGTCCAAGAAAGTTTGGCAAGGCCAATGGACTCATCAGCTGGGAGTCACTCATGGAGAGAATGGCCTTTGCAGATTTTCTGCAGACCTCAGCAGCTGGGGCCACCTGTCAGCTATTTTCCCAGACTTGATGTAGTTCCACAGTTGCCACAACAGTCAACTGAGATGTGAGGACTTGATAAATAGTATAAGATGCTTAGCTCAGATCAGCACAGATAAGTGCTTTTCTGAGAACACTGTCTGAAATTGTTTGTCACTTATACTGTCTGTGTACACTTAGGCATGTCACTTTCTTGCCCCATACCTGTCTATCTGGAAAGTGAGACTATTCATTTAAGATGAACTTGGAATGCATGTAAAATGCTCAGCCAAGCAAAAGCTCATATCTTGAACTATTGTTAGCTTAGTGTCTTTACCATCAGTGAATCTGAAATCTCCCTGCTATAGAAGCACATAGCTGGACACCTCCCTTATCCTCATTCTCAAACTCTCTGGACCAAGGTGAATGGACTACTGGTCTCCATATTTTGTTCTCATACCTGGGGAAAATGGCAGACTTTGTCCCCTCTTAGGGAATCCCAACTGCATGTCCAGTGGATAGTCTTGCCAAAAAGCCACAACACTGGTAGAGCACTTAACCATCCCTTACCTGTAGCCCTGTGTGATTGGCCTTGGCCTGGATGAATGAAAAAACATTGCTTACGTGGATGCAGGGCCAGATTCATGGGTGTACAATCTACAACCACAAAGGGCTTTGTGCTTAGTGGGGCCCTGTGCTTGTTAATACCTTGATGCCACAGCCTTAGCCTTATAAACAAGGTATCCACATTCTCGCTTTGTACCAGGTCCAGTTAACTATATATCTAGTGCTGAGCCAGGGCCCTGGTGAGGAGCAGCTGGTGCCTTCAAAGGGATTTAGCTGACGATGAGGAATAGGCTTCATAGGGATGTGAGCAGAGCTAAGGGAGTGAACAATGGGAAAGCACTCACAAGTTAGCAACAGGGGGAGCTGCCACACCTGGGTGTCAACTCCAGTAAAAGCCATAGGACAAGGGGCTGCCTGACAGAGGTTGGGACCTCAGAACACCCAACAAGACTCTAGACAGGTGGGTAGACAACACTATTGAAATGGATGCATGAATGGACATTAATTCAGCCCTAAGTATGTTCCTGGAGGTAAGGACATAGGCCATAGTTTAAGGCTTGTCAATGTTCTCACATTCTCTTATTAGGATGACTTAGGACCTTGGGATGGTACTTCCACTGCAAAAAACTGCCATAATAGATGGAAATAAGCCTTGACATTGGCTGTCCTATAGGAAATTCTTATAACATTTCTAACATCACTGAAGAAGCTGCCTTGGGACAGTCTTCTAGGTGTTAGGTTCTTTGCAAATACAGGATTTCACAGAGCTGAGTTCACTCTAAACACTAGTGTCTGACTCTTAATGATCAATGTTTGACCTTGGACTACATCTATTTCCTTTCTGCCTCTTATTATTGACATGCTCTGGGTGAATATTACCTTCTGAGCTAGTTTTATCTGTAAAATGGGAATAACTTCTCAAAACTGCATGTGTCAGGTAAGGGCCTTAACACTCTTCCTGGTGCACCAGTACTCGTGTAAGTGACTAAATACCACTATGTCCTTGCCCCCACAGTCTAGCCTACTGGGAGACAGGTCAGTGTATTACAGCCTGATAAATGGCCTTGGGTCAAGAGAATGCTATAGAACTCTCAGAAGTGCTCGCTGGTCCCTGAAGCTTGATGGAAAACCAGCAAAAGCTGCTTGGAATAACTGGTATCTAAGCAAGACCTTCAAAAGGTAAGATTTGGAAAATGCTCTCTAAGCTCACTGGAAGCTGACTGGGTCACTTTGCTCCAAGTGACTCCATTGTTGCATAAACCACTGGACATATCATTATTCAAAAAATATGAATTCAGGACAAACTCTCTCCCTTCCATACCCTACCCATACAGAAGGAGTTGTACAGCAAACAGAAGCAGTCTTAAGCACAGGAAGCCATAGCTGGAAAGTGTACCACTATCCTAGCTCTCTGCACACCCTCAGAGTAGAAGGAATGCCACGAGTCAGGCATTCCTCTTCCCTTCCCCAGTGCAAGCACGTGGGGTCATAGCACTTCCTGCCATGGCTTATGAGGGGCTCCAGCAGGGGTCAATCAGACTTCCCTGTTCATCAGAAACCCTAGATGAACAGATGGCAGACAATGCCTAGCACGTCAGCCCTGGGACTGTGTTCCCCCATGCTTGCCGGCACCCAGTAGAAGACCTGGTGCCTGAATGCAAGAAGGTGAACATGCACATGTGTCCTCCCTGACAGCCATCCACAGGAAATACATTCATTTTCAACCTGCTGGCAAGGCACTGACAGTGCAGAGAGTCACAGCTGTGAGTGTAGAAAGATTGCAGGGGAGAAACAATTTCCCAGCCCCAAACTGCTGCGGAAGGAGAAATTGAACACTTGCTTGTAATTTCCCCCTGAGATCTGCTGGGGACTAATCTAAGTAGGCACTTGGGCTGAAGGGCAAGCACAGTGGGAGCCGGGACCCTTTCCAATCACCACAATCAATCCCATCCCCTGAGCCAGCACTACTTTAGTTCTATTTTCAAGGACACCAAAGCCTTACTAATGCCCTCTTAAAGCTGATTTCTTTTGTAGAGGTGCCGTCTTAAAAACGGACTTAAACCTGGGTTTAAAGCTGTGACTATGAACATGGTATTACTATAAACTCCAGTCTCCTCTAAAATGAGTATTGCAAAGACTAAGACAACGTACATGCAGGTTGTGAACCAGGCCCAATGTATGTCACCTGATCTGTAACTGTCTATGCCTCAGTTACTTAGGGCTCATACTGTCCCTTTCTGGGAACCCCTAGGGATAGTAGGGAAGATAGTCCATGAGAGCTGGTTGCTCAGAAGACTGACACAGACCAAGGTGTGTTCTAGTTTAGGGGGAGCGAGTCTGGGTGTTAACAGCTAAGGAGTAAGAAGTTAGACAAGTGCTGGTGGATGGCTTGAGGGTCTCACAGTGACTCTAGAGTATCGCTGATCTCTCGACACAAGCCCTCAGTGTGGTGTTTGATACACCCATGACCTGAGCTATCATAAACTCTGGTCTGCCCTAGGGTTCTGACCAGAGACTTGAAACCAAAAACTTCAGTAGCTCAACTCCTAACTTGACCCTGTTCCCTGGAAAGCACTACTCTACCCTGAGTCTTCCTAAGTCTAGTCTTGAAGCCAAGAAAACTGACATTCTCTTTCCCCAAACTTTGCTTTTTTTGGAAGAGGCCCTCAAAATCTCCAGGCTTGTCACTCTGTGCAAGGCATTCATTCCCAAGGTTGCATTATATTCCAAGATTTCTGTTAGAGCTTCAGCTACTGTCTGGATTCTAACCAATGGGAAGATTTTAAAAAAGGGATAAATGAGGTACCACTGCTCTAAGGATAGTGCCTGGGACCTGAATTCACAAGTTCTACTTATGTTCCATTTGCTGTCTCTTTAGTGAGACGACCACACATAGCTACCAGAAAAACTGCCTATTCTGGGCAATCTGGTTTACCTAACTAAAAAGAGAAGTTCTGTTACTGGGAAGAGGTAAGGACTGATATTTAGGGCTAACTTGTAATCTTTGTTGAATGGCTTTAGTGTTCAAAAACTGGTACTGTGTCTTGCTGCATGTCTTGGTGCATTAGCTACTTTCATATCTGTAAAATGGGCATACTGTCAACCTCATAGGCTTGAGGGTTGGATTAGACTATGGAGGTGTCTTGCCTGTTCCTAGCACCTAACTACTATATGAATCCTGCCTTCTGGGGTTGTGCATGCTAGATTGTGCATTCTGCATATACCTTAGTAAAAACCGACTTCTCTAGAAAGAGGAATCTTCAGAGAAATGCGAGTTGTATGTAAACATCTGGGCCTGATTTAGAAAGTCTTTGAGAGATGGATGCTTTGCAAAGAACAATGCCTTTGTCAGAGGCCGCCTGCATTGCAGGGACACTTAACTGCTAAGTACAAACAGCTGTCCCACATCTGCAGGATCCATTCTCAACTGTACACAGTAGATACTGCTGATTATGAGCTGTGCTTTGCCAGACCTAAGTTCATTTGGTATACAGACTGAAGGGTGCTGCTAGGGTTCCAAGGTGCAAATGATGATTCCAGAAAACAAGGAAGTCCTGGGAGGCTGTTTTGCCTTCAGACATGGTTTTTGAGTAAAGTGAGATAGGCCGTTTTCTGTAGAACTTGGTATATAAAACTGGGCAGAACTGCATTATTGCTGCCCAATGAATTTGAAAGCAGTCTCCCTCCCTTACCCCAAAGAACCAATATGAAGATCAGTATCTTGAAAGACTAGGACAAGGAGAATCCATAAAAACCAGCCGACCCACTTCCTTGTCTGGGTAGGAAGATATACTTCAGGATATATCAATTTCATGGAACAGCCCATTTTACTTGAGTATCTGTCCTATTTGTGACTCCAGTAATAGAAAGTGTTGCTTAAGTCTGTGACTACAGGCACTCAGGGTGAGATACTGGGTTGCCTCAAGGTTGAACTTGGGATTACTGTGACAATGCCCTATGGCTTTTGCAGTATGATCTAGTAATGACTGTGGACTGGCACCCAACAGCCCGAGTGAGACTCCTGCCTGGCCACTGACTCAGTTGTGAGACTTCTGTGGCACAGGCATGTCAACTCATCTAGCTTCCTCAGCTGAGACACACAACTGACTTAATTCTCAACACTATTAAACGGGCTTAAAATTGCCTGGCATGTAGTAAGCTGAGTACTGAATTTCTGCTTTTAAGACACAGGTGCTCTGAACTAGGTACCCTACTTGGCCTCCTAGGGTGTTGCAATGAGGAGTGCTCTGAAAGCTACCTGTGCAGATAACAGTGACTACACAAGCACAGTCCATCATGCTCTTACATGCACTGGAACAACTTGCAACCCAGCGTTTAACTGCGTTGTAAGAAACATGTTTAGAAAAATGTTCAAATGCTTCATTCGCTAGGTCAATCTGAAACACTCAACGTGTTGAGTGAACTTATGTAACATTCCTGGATTTATCCCTTGAACTTGGGTCTACGGACAGGAACAGGAGTCTTCCCTGCAGTCCTCCTTGCAGCTTTTCAGCTGACCTGGCCTCCAGGGCTCTAGAGTGATTGTGACAACTGTACTGGCCACGGGGATTCTGGGAACCCCTTGAGCTTGGCTGTCGCTGGAGGATCCTTTGCCATCTTAACCAGAGCTGACTTTAAGTGTTATCTTAGACTCCCCTATGGCTAAATCTACAGAAGTAGGTAAATCTTTGTAGAGATGTACAGACCTCCATTTTAGGGGCCATGTGATCCTACTGGAATGTCTCATGGAACTTGTGTGCCTCTCCTCCCCCACTATGTCTTTCATAACCTGGAGACAAATGAGAGGCACTGGTGCTGCTTAGATAATAAATGCTAAGACTTACTGATTTGACTTAACTATAGCTGCACAGCTTTATGGGCGTGGTGGTAAATCTGGTTCCTGAATCTCCTTTCTGGAGTCTTCTACCCTTAGGAAAGGGTGTCTGTCTTGGCTGCTGTGCCACACTGGGCCACTGGTGCTAGGAACACGAGATGTCTGCAATGTGTATAGCTGGAAACTACGCCTTCAAGCTCCAGCTTATTCTCTAACCTTCTTCAATGCTTCTGGTTTAGAATGGGCTATTTATAACCCAAACTATGAAGCTAACCAGACACTCAAACTTTTCCAAGCTTGCTGTAACAAGACTGACCAGGCTGACTTCCTCCTAATGGAATAAGCCCTCAATGAGTCTTAGGAGAGAGCTTTGTGGCAAATGCTGAGACTTGTTTCCTATTCTCTTTTCCTATGGTGTCTGTGTATTCACCAAGATGGAGCCTCTGTGCCCTGGATCAATTAGTTCCCAGGCCATAAAAGACCAGAACAAAGCTAGTCACGACTGCTCAGTGCAAGGGGACAAGTAACATCCGTCCTTAATATCATTAAGGATCTGGCCTTAATGAGCCTGAATACTTGGTCCAGGGTGCCTGCCCCCACCTCAACTCTGTGTAGAGGTGATTATCCAGAGCCTGACATCTTAAAAATGAAGCAAAGACACTCAGACCCTCTAATGAGTCCTGACAGTGGCTCCAGCCTTTGGCTTTGGGACTGAGAGGGGCAGGCAGGGGCTTGGGAGTGGGCCACCTCCAGAGTGTCTCCTCCCTGACCCCAGAGAACAAAAGTCTGTTTCCCTGCTGCTAGGGGTGGGAGCACCAATGGGATCCCTATCCCTAAAAAAGAAAGGGAGCATGGTGTTTGTTTTGCATTCACTTAAAAAGGAAGGATTAAACTCAAATGCCAAAGCACTCGGACACAGGAGGTACAAAGATCAGGGTAGCGACTCCCCCCCAAGGCTGATCTGAAAGGACAAGTTGTCTTTGATTCCAAACCTGACTGGATACCTGAGGAATGGATGCTGATAGGAGTCAGATACAGAAGGCTCTCCCAGCCCCTTGGTTTTTAACATTCTTCCTCAGCGTGGGTACCCAGGGCTATTGGAATGCCTGGCCTGAGGATCAGCACCTAGTCTTCCAGGCATTTCTTCCATTTCTTCCTTCCTGCATTCTCCCAACATCTGCTTTTGGATATGGGTAGAGACTTGAGCTATTTCTCAACCCTGAGAGAAACAGTCTATTTCTCATTTCCGGGAAGTCGTCATCTTGCATCTGGCTGCTTACCTTGTGACTTACCTCTAGATGCCTATTTCAGGAGGCGAAACCAAGCTTCATCTATAGACCGACTTTTCTCCCAGACTTATATTTAAATCTAAAGCTCTTTATCTCCATCTTATTTCTTCACATGCAGTTCCATGCATCTGTTCAGGAATATGTAATCAGCTCTTCTGTACCTCTGTCCTAATAATCTTGCTGACCAACAGATGCCTAGAACTGCAGGTTAACGTCTTAACTTCATTCAGTAAACCCATCCCTTCCATCTTAAGGCTCCTGTATGCTAGACCCATGGGGTCCTCTGTTCTTTCCTCAGCTGGAAGTGTAAGAAGATGGAAATGGCCAGGTGCGGTGGTTCACACCTGTAATCTCAGCCCTTTAGGAGGCTGAGGCAGGTGAACACTTGAGGTCAGGGGTTCAAGACCAGCCTGGCCAACATGGTAAAACCCCATCTCTGCTAAATACAAAAATTAGCTGGGCTTGGTGGCACATGCCTGTAGTTCCAGCTACTTAGGAGGTTGAGGCAGGAGAACTGCTTGAACCTGGGAGGTAAAGGCTGCAGTGAGCTGAGATAGCACCACTGCACTCCAGCTGGGAAACATAGCAAGACTCCATCTCCAAAAAGATGGGGAAACAGCCTGCTTTCTCACCTCACTCCAGGGCCAGGTCTTTGAGGCCAAAGATCTTGAATCTGTGTGGTCAAAGAATTCATGTGTTGGGAAGGTGCTGATATTTTCCACTTGTGCCTCCTGCCAGACTCATTCTTCATTCTTTACCCTGTTCTCTGAGTTACCAGGAGTATATTCCCTTGCTCAGTAGTTTATAGGCTGCTTTGTCTACCAGTGGGATTTTTTTTCCCAGCCTGCCACCTTGTATGGAGGCCTATAGTTCATGTCAGATGGCCCCCTCCTATGGCCAGAGCATTAGCCAGGTGCTAACAGCTATGGTCTATCTTCCTGGGGTAAGCTTAACTCCAGAGTCACCCTGAGGTTTGAGTGCACTTGAGCCTTGCTGGTATAAACCTGGGTAGATTAAAAGGTATTATCTATGCCAGCAAGTATTTGTGCAATATATATATATATATATATATATATATATATATATATATATATATATATATATATATATATATATATAGTACTTGTGCTGATCTTGGCTGAAGCCAGTAGTAATCTTTCCTCTCTGTATCCTATTCCCAAAAACCTATGCCACAAATGAAATGTGAAGTCAGTTTCATATACCAGGAAGCCAAAGTCTTCACTGGTCTTGACTGCAAACTAGAACAGAAGAGCCCCTGAGTTTGGGCAGGTTGAAAGCAATGAAGAGAATACTCTATGTTCTGAACAATTTCACTGAAATAATAGAACAAAAATAAAGTGACTTCATTTGAGCAGGGTTTCTTAAAAGGGGCAACTTGGAAGCAGAAAGCACCACTTGGCAAAAGAGCCTCCAAAATGACTGGATCTCACCTGCTGTTGCTCACAGAACCTATTTCTTTCTCTGAAGTAACCCTTCTGAATGGACTACATAACTTGGGTGAAAAAGAGACCATGGTGAAGGGAGGTCATGGTGCACTAGAATGTATGGAAATACAACTAGACGTCATCTTTAGATTCAAAGCTTTGAAAAAGATTGGAGATGGAATACAGTAGCAATGGAGGGTCCTTGACCAACTATGGTACTGAGGGGTGTGGGAATGAATGGGACCCTCACTGTCACTGAGGTCAGAAGGAAGAAACAGGACATGTACACTAGGTACTTACCCCATAGACCCCAAAGCAGGGTGCACTGTGCAAACAGCACGTGATCAGTGGATAGTCCAGAGGCCTTCCCAGTGCATTTTCTGGTTTGAAAGGGCCACTGCTTCTGCTTTTCCGTTCTGCTCTTCAGAGACTTGTTGACCTCACAAGCTTCTCTTGAGCTCTACTTGTAGCTAAGCTCCATACCTGGTCGAACTTGACTTTTTTCTGGGGTATGTGCTCCTGGGAGGGAGCTCCCTTCTAAGAAAAGCTCAAGTTTGATACATGCCAAAGCTCAGACCACTTGCCTCTTCCCCCAATGGCCTCTAGATGGCTGAGCTCTTCCAACTTATTCTCAGGGCATGGGATCCTATGAGAGGGATTCCCTCACAGGGAGTCAACTCCCTTTCTGAAAACTACTCATGAAGACTTCAGGAGTTTGAAGCATTGTCAGCCACCTCTCCTCATGGGTGGTTATTCTAAGGAATAGGATCTACTTGTATCTTAAACATCTGCATAGCTAGGACTCTCTTCAGATGAAACTCTTTCTCATGCCTTCAGGGTCAACCTCCAGGGTCTTTTGCTCAGTAACCAGCTAGAAAGTAGGATTGGTTTTTCCTCTAGATTGGCAGCTAGGGCTGGCAGCTCATAAACACCAGTCAGGAACGGATGGTACTTCCAACACTGCTTTGGTTCACATAAGTGATTGGGTGTTACCTTACAATTAATCCTTTGTGGTATAATATGGTAACAGACACAGCTGTCTAATGACTTCTGAATGAATGATAACTCACATTGAAGGGCTGCTGTGACTTCAAGTTCTTCCAGCATGTCCTCAGGCAAACCAAACCCGATGGTGCTATGTTCATGGATGCCTTTTTTTGTTGTCAGTCGGGCTGATACCACGTAGGGCTATACATTTGGGAAGGAAGCTCACAGGGAAGTAACCCTTCTGAATGGACTACATAACTTGGGTGAAAAAGAGACCATGGTGAGGGAGGTCGTGGTGAACTAGAATGTATGGAAATACAACTAGATGTCATCTTTAGATTCAAAGCTTTGAAAAAGATGGGAGATGGCCAGGCTGGTCTTGAACTCCTGACCTCAAGTGTTCCACCTGCCTTGGCCTCCTAGAGTGCTGAGATTACAGGTGTGAGCCACCCCTCCTGGCCATTTCCATTTTCTTAACAGTTCCAGCTGAGGAAAGAACAGAGGACCCTAAGGGTCTAGATGCTATTGCTATTTGTTTTCCTCAAAGCTATTATACCCTCATAAGGAAGAGTGGAGACGGATGTATTCAACTGCACATCTACCTGCTGTAATACCAGCAATGCAACTTGGCGTTCTGATGGATACATTCTACTTGAAATTAACCTGTATCCACCTACATGTCCAATGGGGTATTTCACATGATCCCAGCTTTTGTCAGCTCCACTGGTGTTAAGAGCATGTTTGCCCAATGTGGAAATGACCTCAGAAGACCAAGGAGGCTGGGGTGAGAGCCAGGAGGACAGTGAGACAGGCATCCCTCAACTTGTAGGCTCAGACTTAGAAGCTCTATCTGAGATACCAGTATACAAGTATCGATGGCCCCAGAAGCCTTTGGCAAAGTTACTGAGAATTTCTTCCCAGTTCCTTTGGGGAAGTGGCTTAAATGCTCTGGACAGGTAGGTGGTGGCAACGTCAGCACACTTGTGGAATATTGGCTTCTCCGGTATCTCAGCAGGCTGCTGAGCAGTTTAAGTAGCTGTCTTTGAGATAGCAGGATGCAAGCTTCTGGAAGTAGACTAGCCAACTGAAGAAGGAAAATGGCAGGTAGATCCATGGGGCTGTTTCAAACTTAGAAGCTGTTTGGGTTGTCCCTCTGCTACAGCTGTGTGTACATCCTGATCTGGTCTGAATGATCCAGACACACCCCCAGATGCACTGCAGTTGACTTTCTAAGATATCCCGAGGTAGTTGATGGGTGCTTCCAGGGATTGAAGTCTCTCCCAGAGTGGTAAAAATACCCTTGGTTCTGGTACTCCAGATACAAGATTCCACTTGGTCTCTTACTTTCTCAAACCCTCTCAAAGGGAGGCCCTGATGCTGTCTACCCTCTTGTCTGCTACTGTCTTGCTGTCCAGAAGGTTCTGGGGCTTGATACCTCTGGAAACAGAGAGAAGGAAGCAGGGTTGGGCAGATGGGTGAGCTGTTCATATAGACTTGATGAAAGCCTTGGCCAACCCAACAAGGTGTCCTGAAGATAGAATGACCTAAGCTGTCCTGAGTAGAGGTAAGAACACTGGACCTCTGTCCTGTTGATTAGTCTCTGGCTGGAACAGTGTCAGGAAATGGGGTAACCTAGGAGGCAGCTCTTTTCAGGGGCTGACCAATGAGGGCTGTCTGCTAGTAAGTGAAGACATCAGAATGAAGGGGATAGGAGGGGTCTGAGTGAGTCACTGCATCTATTGCAGTTGACAAGCATAGAGTTTCCCTGAGTTTGGGATGTCTTCCTCATTCAAGTTGCTTGAATCCCAGATTCCTGTGTTACGATTTGATTGGATCAAATCCTCTTCTACTTCCCATCTCCTTTAGCAAGCAGAAGTGAAGCTTACTGCAAGTTACAGTATTGTTGGTTTATCTTTACACTGAATCTTAGTGATGCACATTTGAGGTAGACACCAGTCTTGACCTAAATGTTCTTAAAGTATAAACCAATTCTGTCACTTCCAGGAAGTACTTCTGCTTCATACCTTATTTCTGGTCAAAATGGCACCTACCATATGTCATAAACACCCTACCAAGATGAGCACTACCACTCATGGCTCATATAATACCCTTTTCCCATGAGTTATACTTGAGTACCTCTGTATAGTCCTAAACCAAGAAAAGTGATCCAACTGGTATTCCTTATAATTTAGTAATCAGACCAGGCTGGCTTTCTGAAAAGTAACCCAGCCTCATCTAGAATCCCTATTTAGCTCTATTTACACCTCTACTTTCCTGAAATTAGGTGAGGCTGTTGAACAAAGCCATATAAGATTAGGTTGTATATGAATCGTGAAGGTATGCACACTATCCCTTCCCAGTTCCAGGGATGGTTAGTCATTCTAGCTTGAGTCTGGAACCAAAGTGGTCTTCATCCTCCCACACTCCAAACTTGAGGCTCCTCTGAGCAGAGGCATGTAAGTAAAGCCAGAATATGACTATCAAATTGTAGCAACCACAATACTGCTTCCTAATACGGCTGAGGGGGACATTTCCAGTTAAATGGCTTGTTACTCTTTTAATAAATGCTGCATGAGTTGAGGTTAGAGCTTGGGAGGTGGGAGATCATGGTGAAGGAAGGACAGGAGAACAGAAAGGCCAGCAATTGGGCCATTGGGTGGGTGGAAGCAGCTATGGGCCACATGGTCTAAATTTTAAACAGTAATTGCTCTGGTCATGCTAGTTCTGCAGTGGGGGCTGGATAAGCTCTGGAAAGGGAAACTACCCTGGGCCCTCATGTAGGAGGGAGGGAGGGCCATGATAGGTACGTGAGTGGCTGTGGTCATAGTGCTAGAATGGCCATGCCTGAATGTCCATCTCTACCTGTGCCCCTGAAGCAGTCCCCAGTATATGTGGAGCTCTGCATCTATACTTGCTATACTCCAAAAGGGTGGTGTCTGCTCAACCTGGTGCCCAGGTTGTCTGAGAGAATTGACTACGTCTACCTTTTTTCTCCTACTTCAATTAACAACTTGGCACTGAACTTCCACTTCTTTAGTGTAGATTAGTCTGTCTCAAAGACTAACATCCCCATGACAGTCTGGTATCCCAAAGCCTTTATCCAGATGCCTTCAGAGAACCAGGACAGAGATGACGTACCTTTCCCATCTCTTCCGCATATTTGCTGTTCCCTTCCTTGGGATGCTGTCTGGCCTGAGCTGGCCACATTTTCAGGGTTTTACTGACTCTTTTAACCCATATGTTCAAGTACTATGTTGGGTAGAATACCCCCATTCGGGGTGGCCACTTTGGATCCCTATTACGTCAATCTAGTGCATGTAGCCAAGAAACAAGTGAAAATGTTTGAGTTCATCTAGAAACGAAGCTCCTCCACCATGGGGTCCTCAGCGCTATGGTGGCTCCTCCATCTTTAGAACCATCTTCAGAACCCTCATTGTACTTCTGTCTTAGACAAGATACTTGCTCCATGCTGTTCCCTTCTGTGGCCCTTCATCACAACTGTTCACAGGAATGCTCTGGGGAACTATGCTATGTGCTATCACAGGCCTTGGCACTAGAAGCCCCATTGGCTGTGGCTACCGTGGTTGTCACTGCCTCTGTTTCTGTCCTTGCAATTGCCAAACTGGCTAGCCGTGGAGGGGTACTCTAGGGGGGACATTCCAAGATGCCTTGGTTTTTCTCATTTTAATCTGTCCCAGACAGGGATCACTGCCTTTTACATTCATGAGAAAGATAGAGCAAGATGTCCTGGAAGAAGAAGAAAAAAAAAAACCCTCTAAGATCAGTCATAGAAAACTTCAGAAATTGTGCTGGGAGCTAAAATGGCCTTTAATATGGTACATGGAGATCTCGTAACCATGCGTGTTAGTGACAAAGTCAAAGTCTTTGCTTTGAGAAAAGAACATGACTTCCAGCAGCCTGTATCCTACTTCATGCATCCCTTCTTGCCTTAAGGGAGTGTTCTTAACCCAGGTTATAGTTGGGCTTATTTCTGTGCACAGAGCAGTTGGAGTACAGTGTGACCTGATCGTCTCCACCTGGCAGAAAGAAACTCACTTTCCCTCTCCCCAGCTCATCTGAGGGGTATCTGGATAATAAATATACCCCTACCTGCCCTGACAGAAGCCCTGCATCCAACATTGTTCTAGTGCCTTCATTTGTTAAAGGGTCTATGCATCACCTGTGAAATTGTGCCCTTTCATACCACCTCCCATGTGGATCTGATGCTCAATGTGTGGAAAAAGGCAATGTCTGACTCCTAATGGAGGGGTGATCAAGACGAAGACCACGAGGTATACCTCAGGCACAGACTAGGAAGGGCCTTAAAGGGCCACCCCATCCCTGTGCTTTCTCTAAGTTTTCGTGAGTCTAACTCCAGAATACAGAATCTTCTGCAAGAAAACCAAACTAGACAGATAATCTTTGATTCCTCCTAATCCCATGTAGCTGATGAGGACCTTCTATGATATAATACTTAGAGGCACATGCTGGAAGTGGGGCTCTCTGTTGCTGTGGCAGAAGTTGATCTCCTAGCTGAGGTGAACACCCGTCCACTGGGAAGTTTACCTCTGACTAATCCTGTGGGATGAATATTTGAAAACCTCAGATGGGTTACCTATTGCTTTACCCAAGGCCCTTAACTCCTCCTGAATTGAATGGCAACACTTCTATCATTAAATGTACACTTACTAAATGACAATCTAGAGTTTCTTCTCTCCTTCTAAACATCACTGTAGGTAGGGATTATTTTAATGATTTGATAGTCTTGTTCAGAGAATTGTCCCACGGGAGCTCCTTCAAGCTGGCTGTGTCCTAGACTACCCAACACCGTTTGTGTACTGCC